>NW_018654707.1:0-140355 GCF_000001405.40 Homo sapiens | reverse complement strand
ATTTATTATAAGTTCTATTATTAATTAGTGGATTCCTTTGGCTTCTCTACCCACATACAAGATTATGGCCATTTCACAGAGATAGTTTTGCTCCGTCGTTGCAACCTGCCTTTTACTTCTTTTTCTCGCATAATGGTCCTGGCTGGAACATCTAGTATGATGTTGAATTAAAGTGGTGAGGGCAGATAAACTTGTCTTATTCCTGATTTTAGAGGAGAAGCATTCAGTCTTTAAGAAAGTCATTAAGTATTATGTTAAGTGTAGGGTTTTAATAGATTCCCTTCATCAAATTGAGGAAGACTACTTCTATTCCTAATCTATTGAGTGTTTTTATTATGAAAGGATATTAGGTTGTGTTAAATACTTTCTCTCCGTAAAAATGATCAAGTATTTTCTTAGTCATTTACATTGACTTTCAGATGCTGAACCAGTTTTGCAATCCTGGGATAAATCCTATTTGGCTATGATGTATAAATCCCTCACATATATTGCCAAGTTTAGTATCTAGCTTTTGCTGAGAATTATTATGCTTATACTCATAAGTTATGGGTCTGTAGTTTCCTTGTGATATTTTTCTCTTGCTTTGTTATTGGGTGACTAATATAATTAGTTTTGAAGTGTTCTTTCCCTTTTATTATTTTTAGGATTAATGTCTAAATTACTGGTATAAATTCTTCTTTAAATATTAAACTCCACTATTGAAGTCATCTGAGCCTGGAGTCTTCTTGGAAAGTTTTTAAAATTACTAATTCTAGCCTTGTGATAGTTGTAGGTCTCTTTAGATCTTTAGTTTTTTTTTTTTTGTAAGTTTTGAGTCATTTTGGGGAGTCCGTGTGTTTTAGGAATTTCTCCATTTTCTCTAAGCTATCTTAATTCATTGGCATACTATTTCTTATTGTATTTTCTTATACATATTTTTATCTCAATAAGGTTATATTAGTAATGTCCCCTTTTTCATTCTTGATATTGGTGATTTCAGTATTGTCTATTTTTTCCCCAGGTCATTCAGGCAAAAGATTTGTTCCCCCCTCCTTTTTTTTTGGTATTTCCAGAGAAAACGACCAATTTTTAGTTTCATTGATGTTCTCCATTTGAATTTTTTTGTTTCATTAATTTTCACTCTAATCTTTATCATTTCCTATTTCTACTTGCTTTGGTTAGTTTACTCTTATTTTGATAGTATGTTAGGGTGGCAGGTGAATCTTTCTGTTAAATTTTAACGTATGTGTTTACAGCCATAAATTATCCACAAGGTACTGGCTTTTGTTGCAACCTGTAAGTTTTGGTATGTTGTGTCTTCTTTTTCTTTCATCTGAAAATATTTTCTAAATATTCCTTGTGATTTATGTTTTTGGCCCATTGGCTATTATTGTTTTTAAATTTTTCATATATTTGCAAATTTCCAAAATTGTTTCTGTTTTTGATTTGTAAATTTATTGCATTATGATTACAGAACATACTTCTGGAGATTTAATCCTTTTAGATATGATTTGGCTTGTTGTTTTGCCTATAATATAGACTATATTGAATAATGTTCCATGTTCACTTTCAAATAATGTGTCCTGCTGCTCTGTATTGGATTGTTTTATAAATAATATCCTTTATTTTTATATATGTTAAATACATACAGAGAAGAAAAAAGAACCAGTACATAATTAGAAGGTATATTATATTAACATTTATCATGTCTAGTTCTTCTCATTTGTTCCTGTGGATTTGAATTATCACCAGGTGTCACTGCCTTATGGTAACTGAGGTTTACTCTTAATCCATCTTTCTGTGGTATTTTGTCAAATACCTTACATTTCTATATTATAGGTACAATATAATTACATACACATTGTTTCATTTGGCTGCTTACTAAGTCACATCAGAGAAGAAAGAAAAATAAGTTGGCATTTATTCTGATTATTATAATTACAAAATTACCTGTATCAGTGCTCTCTGTTTTTTATATGGATTCAAATTATAGTTGGAAGTCACTTGCTTACAGTCTGAAGAATCCCTTTTAGTATTTTCTATAAAGTAAACAGGCTATCAATAATTCTTTCAGTTTTTGTTTATCTGCAAAGTTATTTATTTCACCTTAAGTTTTGAAATACAGTCTTGCTGAATATAAGATTCTCTTCTGATGGACTTAAGAGGCAGAATAGAAAAAAGTTTTTAAAATGGATTCTTGACTGACTTTTTTTTTTCTTTCAAAACTTTGAATGTAAGTCAATGAGTGCCAATATGTACTCATTTTTTTAAACTTATTCATTAGGAAACATTTATAAATGTGTAAGACAGAAAGAGCTATCAAGAGAACCCAAAAACATGACGGGAGAATGAGGAATGGAGGAAGGAAGGGGAAAGAGAGAAATAGAATCAGAGAGAGAGATCGCAAAAGAAAATATCTATTTGCTACTGAGTATTGACTGCTAAACTAACTACTGATAGAACTCTTACCTTTGGTCTCAGAGTACCTGAGGAAGCACATGTAGCTTTAGTTTAAAATTGTACAATGTTCTCCACTAGTTTAAAGATGAGATTCAAGTCTTGTATATGCCTTAAAAAGATATGTATTATATAGTCCCTTTTTCTCCTTCAGACTGTGCTCTGCTTCGCTTCTCCTCCGTAAAGAGTACATTTGAGTTTCCCTAATGAAATACCATTTTTCACACAATTCTTCACTTTGAACATTCTTAGAATATTCTGTTGATGTTTTGATGTTTTCTATTTACCCCACTGCTCACAGCTTTAAAAAAAATTATTTGGAAAACTGCCCTTACCACTCTCTACACACAAAACTGATTTATATGTCCCCAGTATATATCACCACAATTGTTGCATCCTGTGAGTTGTTGAATTTTCCTTATGATATTAAGAACTGTATTAGTCAATTTATACTGCTATAAATAAATACCTGAGACTGGGTAATTTACAAAGAAAAGAGGTTTAATAGGCTCACAGTCCCACAGGCTGAACAGAAAATGTAGTAGCCCATTTTCACACTGCTAATAAAGACATACCCAAGACTGGGCAATTTACAACAGAAAGAGGTTTAATTGGACTTACAGTTCCTCATGGCTAGGGAAGCCTCACCATCATGGCGGAAGGCAAGGAGGAGCAAGTCAGGTCTTACACTTATGGAGGCAGGCAAAGAGAGAGTGAGAGCCAAGAAAAAGGAGTTTCTAACTATAAAACCATCAGATCATGTGAGACTTATTCATTACCATGAGAACAGTATGGGGGAAACCACTGCCATGATTCAATGATCTCCACCAGGTCCCTCCCACAACAATGGGAATTATGGGAGACACAGTTCAAGATGAGATTTGGGTGGGGACACAGAGCCAAACCCTATCAAGAAGCATGGTAGCATCTGCTTCTGGGGAACCTCAGGGAACTTTTACTCATGGCAGAAGGCAAAGCACAAGTAGGCATCTTACATGGCAGGAGCAGGACCAAGAGGCAGGGAGGTGCTACACACTTTTAAACAACCATATCTCATGATAACTCTATCACAAGAGCAACACTGGGGGATGCTGTTAAACCATACGAAACTGCCCCATGATCTAGTCACCTCCCACCAGTCCCCACCTCCAACACTGGGGATTACAATTAAACATGAGATTGGGGCAGGGACACAGATTCAGACTATATCAAGCACCATATAATATTGTGTGCTACCTAGTTATTAGTTGGTTTCATTTCCTATACTGCGGAATCTAAAAGGGGAGAGCTTTCCTTATCTTCATCCTTGAACAGTAATTGGCCCAGAACAGTCCTTAAAAATACTTATTTATTCATTTAAATTTGCTTCTTCTTATCATATTCATATCACACTTTATGATATTCTGATTCTAAGACTCAACAAATATCTCAATATTTGCATTGTTATAATCATATAGCATCATCACTCAATTCATATCCTAATTAAATTAGGTAAAATAAAGTGAAGGTTTACCCACAGAAAGTCTATCTTTCAAAAAAGACACCTAACTGGTTAAAGGAAAGAAATAGGTCTTATTATTTTATTTAGTTTGTCTTCTCCAGACAGCAAGGTGATCTATTAGAATACAAAGTAAGGATTTTAATGAAACAGGCATTTCCCAAGGAGTCTCCTTTTTGGCATATATTTATAGGGTTAATCAGTGTTCCATAAAACTACATGTTTCTAAGGCTTCACCATTGCTTTCCCCCAAGAGGTTTGTAACACTAATGAGTATTGATGACATCAATATATGATTCACAAAGAAGTTGGTAATTTAAGCTCTAAATCTAGAGAGAATAAGCCAATGTAATTAGAATAAAAGAAAATTAACTTCCCAATGTCTCTGTAGTTTTAAGTGTGGTGTTGTTTGCTTCTGAATAAGCCTCATTTTTATACATCCATAATTCTCTGTTGCAATTATTCAGAAAGTAATGAAAGTGTAAAGGCAATCTTATGAATGGAGGGTTAGAGAATCAGAAAGTACTGTGTGTCTTCAGGTGTATATAATATATTCATCTGCACTTAATTGCAATATTACAAACATATTTAACTCAAGTTCCCAAACCTCAAAGACCTCATGCTATCTCCAATATTCTCAATTAAAAATGTCCCTTAAGAGATCATCTGTATTTTGTTTTTTAAGGCCAACAGGCTGATGGCATGGTTTGTTTTAAATTTGTGGGCATGTGGTATTTTCTACCATCTGAAAATTATAAATATAGCCTTAATAAACTAAAAGTAAAGTCTTAATAAAGAAAAGTCCAGGCACCAGCCAACATATAAATCTTATTTTGGGGGAGAGGATATATAAAGAGGGTGAGTGAGTATTGATTGAGCTTTCTTGGTACCCCTGAAGCCACTTCTCAGAATAGTTATGTCTCTAACACACATAAAACTGGCTTTTCTGAAATGAGCACCATGCATGGTGACTTCTCAATATTGAACTTCAGGTTTATCTGTTTTGGTCAAAATGGCTGAGTTCTGACATCTGGAAAATAACAACAGTATTGCTAGATCCTGGATACTCACAAACTATGTTTATTATGATATTTCTGGCAACACACTGCATGCATATTCATGGCTTTGAAATGCTTCCTATTTCTATAGATTCATTCGTCATTTGCAGGTGTGATTATGGATTCATGAATGCAGCTAATCACTTCTAATATGTACAGTAATCCTGCCACTGAATTGAAATTTTCCTTGATTTTTTGATGAAGCTACGGCCCTGAAAGAAGCTCACTGAATTCTATAATCCAGAATAGTCTTCAGGAATAGTTAGAGCTGTACATAAAAGCCGGTTTATTTTGAGTTTACTCCTGATTACACTTGATAAGGACTTTAGGAGACTCTTACTTGTACTCTCACTGCCCCACTATAGTCCAGCCACCATGTGTCATGTGTGAGTGCCCACAGCAACATTCTAACATCTCCTATATGTTAGGAAAAGAAGATGTGACCATAAGCCCACAGTTTAAAATTGATATCCTGTTCATTTGAGAAAGAATAGAATGTTTTATCTTCCCAGGTTAAATAAAATTGTTAACTGTTTTCATAAACTGAAAACAAAGCCACTGCAGCCTCTGTGTAAAATCATGATCTCAACTGATGTTCCATCAATTTCTCAATTTTAACAAGAAAAAAAATTAGAAATTTACCTTTCTTCTCATTTGTGACCTCAACATGTTGCACAATAGAATTCTTGAAATATTTGAAACGTTCGGAAAGAAAAGTACCCCAACAGCATAGAAATAGGTCTTCCAATGTAAAAAGAAAATGAGAGAATTTTCTATGATTTTGTGACTTTCTGACACTGCAGTGGATGCAGGATTTTAGAGACCTTGCTTCTCTGGTTAGGTGCTGGGCTGAACCTGAACCACACTGCTGTCAAAGGAATCTCAGCCACCTCAGACTCTCAGCTCATTAAAAGTGACTTGAGGGAAGAGACATCAACCTGCATAATTAAATGTCTCTACTCATGGCTTCCCCCAGGTGCAGTTTCCAGTCATCTCACCTGCTTTCCTGGGTAACTCAACTTAGATTCTCATGCTGGCTCCTTTTTTGACAAGTCCCTTGACCAAACCACACTTGCCCATGCTTTTTCCCTATAACTATGTCTCTTAGATTCCTGCATTCACTCAGTTCTTTGTACTTCTGTCTAATTTCAGTCTTACTAGATCCCATATCATGCCAGACATGACACTTCCAATATAAAATCCTGGATAGAGATGATAGGAAGGTGATATGCATAAATTTATTGCTTTTCCCCCTCTATATTCCCATGGGTTGTGACACAATTGTTGATTTCATCATTTCGAGTATTGATTCTCTTATTTTTTTCTAAAGTTTGTATACATAGAAAAGTCGAAATATTTTTGCTGCTTTTGTTTTTGTTGGTTTGTTTTTGTTATTTTATTTAGAGGAAGTAAACTGGAATTACAAAGGTTAGTAGCTGCCTCACAGCCACACACCTAGTAAATGATGGAGCCAAGATTTGACTCCAGAGATTGGATATTAAATCACTTTACACTCAATAATTTTTGTTTAACTAAGTTCAACTGTGCTAGTCAAAGGATGTCAGTCACTAAGAAACAGACTGGATGCTACTCACAAAGCATAGTCAGTAAGCAGGGAGTCAGCATAGCCAAATTCTTTCAGCAAGTAGTCAGGTCCCAGTCACCAGGTAGTAATCACAAATCAGAATCACTGCTCTTGGGATTGGGTGCTGGAATATTGAAGATGACTCCTATTCAGTAGGAATGATGCATCAAGAATATTAGTAAAATGACTCAAATACAAATACATAAGGTGAATTTTAAGTTTCCTAAATACCAATGAAGTAAAGGCTACACTAGTAACAAGGACTACTTTGTGATGCGTCCTGCAGGTTTGGAACAGATCTCCCTGAGGTCTTTGTCTCAGATTAGGATTTGCCATATAAATTTGTCAGAATGAGACTGTTTTTGGTGGGGACAGAAGGGTTGAAATTTTTATTAACAATAATTCATAGACTGTATGGAGATTTACTATAAGTCATACCAGACCTGCTATGGCTCCTTTGAGGCAACAACAATGGCAATAGCAGTCTCTAATTCACCTTTATATCATTCAGTACTTTGTTCATGAATAGTTTGGAATGATTCTAAGCTTGACTAAATCCCTGAAAGTCTGTGGTTCTAAACTACTTGGCACATTTACATTTTACATCACAGGCTGTCCTTTTTTCCTTTTTTTTTTTTTTTTTTGTTAGTTTTTGAGAACTGAGAATCCTATAATGTTTATTATTATAATGACCAAGTTACAGAATACAGATGAAGAAACTTAGCTCCATCTCATACCTTTACTAAACGCAGATTTCCCTTTCAGCTAAGAATGTGGACTTCCAAGACAGTTGGCTTAGGTGCAAATCACTCCTCCACATTAGTGGCCATTAATATAATTTTGGGAAAGTTGTTTAAGCTTTGTGTCTTTATAAAAGTTTCCACAATTGTAGACTAGGAGGTATTAAAAGTATCTATTTCATGGGGTTGCTTTGGGGATTAAATGGGTAGATATTATGAGGTACTAAGTGCCTAGCACAGAGGAGGAGCTCAGTATGTATTATCTATTATAACAATAGTCACAAAAATAAATATCAACTTGCTTATTTCTCTCCATTTTTGCATGCAAAGATATGACATGTATAAAAGTTATATAAATGGAGGATAAAATAAAAAGGATTGTATATTTTCCAAAGAGAAAGTAACTTGTATCTCCTATAATCATTCATAACTCTCATAGTTTATTAGGACTGAATATGATAAAAACACATTGAAATGCAAATATTGTATCCATTAAGGAAGCAGATGAGGACTTAGTTAACTTTCTCATCTATATAAAGGATGAAACAGTCACTGGGTTAAATACCTTTCTTCGGTTTGTTACTATAAACCTTTAGAAGAACCTCCACTAAAATGGCACTGTGGACAATATAGAACTTTCACAGGATTTTATGGTTTTCAGTGTAGGGGAAAATGACCATTTAATACATAGCCATATCTTCCCAAACAAAAGAAAAATAAGGTCACCATCCAAGTACTGGAACTCAGAGTACTTTCTTAATAAAAAATGTATAAAAAACTACATGTGCTTCCCATTTCTCATCCACATTTTCCAAAGACTAATTGTGCAAATCAAGTAAAATAATAATGTCCAAAATGTTTGTGGATAATTTATTCTATTCTTATAATCTTAAAAAGTTTTGACTAACTTTGTCGCTTCTTTCCGCAAACAAATAAATAAATGCCAGGTTCTAGGGAAGATTAACAAAAACAAAAAACAACAAATAAGTGCATAGCAATATAAAGAAATGAGAAAATGAGCCAGGAAAAACCCAAATTTCAAATTTACATTATACAACCAATTTATAAAACAGGAAATTTATATATATGCATAAAACTAAAAATCTTTTATTCAACTCTTTAAAAAAATATCTGGAACCCTTCCTACATGTCTCTTTTGGTTAGGCAGATAATGGCTCCCAAACCCTGTGGAGCCTGTGAATAATTTACCCTACATGACAACAGGGAGTTTGCAGATGTAGCTAATTTAAGGCTCTTGTGATTACTCTCGATAATCTGGGTGAGCTCAAAATAATTGCAGGAGTCCTTATAGGAAGCAGGAGAGTAAGAGTCAGACAAGGGGGTGTGACAGTGGAGGCAAAGGTCAGAATGATGTAACTACTGAAATGAGGCCAGGAGCAAAGGAATGCAAGCATCCTCTAGAAGCTGGGAAAATCGATTATCTCTTATCATTTCCAGAATAAAACACAGTTCTGCTGACACCTTGACCTTAGCCCAGTGTGACTTCAGGACTCTGTTATTATAAGAAAATAAATGTGTGTTTTCTAAGCTACCAAGTCAGTGGTAATATGTTCCAGCTTTAAGAGAAAAGTAATATGTTATTTGTTGGCATGATTCATGTTTATTGGGACCAGATGATTTGAAGGGACAAGACGTACACGTGTAGGATGATGAGGTAAACTGAATATCATGAGGTAAACTGAATATTTAGGTTTTCTTTTTCTTTTTCTTTTTCTTTTTTTTTCAAATTGCAGGGTGCAAACAAAACATGTCTGCGGTGGTCAACAGAAAGGCAAATTATTCCTGGATGGAATCGATAAAATTTGGAGGTAGATAAAAATGCAATGCAGATATAAAAACTGAGTCCCTGCTGTATTGGCGAGTTCTGTAGAATTAATGTTAACGTTATAAAATTAGTTCCAAAATTTAATAAAAGCCTGAACTTATGATGTTAAAGATTAGTCACTGATCATACTGTTAATATTTTAACAAAAAATTCTAATAATTGAATATTTCTCTTTTGTACCAATAAGTATGTAATCTGTTGTCATTGCCTATTTGTGTTACTTTAGCCACATATTGTAATTAAATATGCTAGAAATAATCTTCACCATAATATTAATACTATTTCTCCTAATCCTCAATCCAAATGACAACTTAAAACTTTCCCTTTATTTCAAGTAAGATCGTAAACAAATTTCCAAAACTTCTATTTACTTACCAGTATCTCAGGAAGAGTCCCTTCAAGTCAAGTAGGATGGTTTATTGAACACAAAATCTCTTTGAACAAATGAATCTTTAACTTGTAGTGAAAGTGAAACACACACATACGTATTTGGCAGCAAATTGATTCACAGTCAGATGAGATCAATGAGGATGCTTGACAAATTAAATTGGATCATCAATTTGAGTCATTGCATGATTTTTTTAACAGATAGATTTGCTCAGTTTATGGCTTGTTGACCTGCAGATAGTATGCCATGAGAGTCCAGTGATAAAAATGATGGTTTGGGCAATGAAGGCATATTTGATGAATGAGAAAAAAAGGGAAAAATAAGTCTACCTATGTACAAGAGGAAAATATACAGAAATTAGAGGTGTATATTTATGACTGCTCAGATACTGGCTATAAGTTGAGGCTTAAGCTGTTATCTAAAAAGCCTTTTGAACTGATACCTAACACATTTTCCATGACTGTTAGTTACCATTAGATCAGAGTGACAGAAAATCTGTCTACTTGCCACTCTCTCCTTTCCAGAGAACTGAACTAGGAACTTTGCATGCTTTGATGAGTTACTTCACTTTCTTATGTCTCTATCATGGAACTGTAATTTGAGATATATTTTCAGTTTTCAGGCCACTGTATAAGTGTCAGAAACTGAGAGAAAGTTGAAAATTTCCTACTCATTTCCTCTATCTTTGGATGAAGATAAAAATAATTTGTTTCACACTCCTTGAAGATGCATGTGATAGTATCTAACTATGATACAGATGTGGGTCAAACAGGGATACTTCCATGCCCACCGGCTCTGGAAGTAAGTTTAGTCTTTACCCACTCTCTGACAGGAAATCTGAAGGCATATTAATTTGTATTTATTATGTATCTCTTGTAGCTTGACCTATTCAGTTATTTTTGCCACCTCAAGTGTTAGTGGACATTTAAAAACACCTAAAATCATGGATCTGAGACACAAAAAAATAACAAATGAGTTTTATAATCCTAAACCTTCTTTTCATCCGGTTTTTCAGGTTTCACTGATAAACTGTGTTTATACAGCCCATTAGGTTTGTCCCTGAGCACTTCAAAAAAGGTATTAAATTAGTAAATACTGTTATTTAGTAATGTAGGCACTATCATTGTGGATCAGAAATTCAAGCTGTTAAAATGTAAAATATCTGGAGTTTTTGTATAAATTGACCTGTGCATTCCAGATCTCCATGCTCCAAATCTTCATACAGTTTATGTAACTAATCAATAGGATGACTTGGTTTTTTTTTAATGACTCTTCATGTACAATTGTAGATTTTTAATTTCAAAATTTTATAAATATTTAACATATGTGAAGAAAGTCCCTTACACTAAACCACTGTGGTCTTGATATTTTATATTTTAATATCCTGAAGTGTTATGACCAACATAATAGACATAAAGTTAATAATTTATTTTCGCAATATTCATCGTGTTTTTATTTACTCTAATATACTCATGAAAAAAATGGTAGGAAAATGTATCCCTTTCCTGTAGATATATAAAGGATATAATTTTACACATAAGCACAAGAGACCAAAATAAGGATTCAAGTTCAAGATTCTCTGAATTCATTACATTGTTGAGGTAAACACGTTGATGTAGCTCATTAAAAAGAAAGAAGAGTGGATCATTAAAATCCTTCCAAAATTTACCCATTTATAGACAAATCCATCTGTACTGACAGTCATTCAGCTACGTGTTTTTCCATAAACATGTGTAAATGTAGCAAGATTTAAATTGTTTCTCTACAATGAAAACACAATTTGGTTCTAGTTTCCTGATTGTATATTATACTCTTTCTGAAAATTTGTGTTTGATCCTTTGGGTGGTAATTGGCATTCATCTCTCATATGCTGTTTTATCATGTGCTTTTCTCCTTGTACATTGAATTTGGCTATGAAAATATAATATTCTTAAAATCAAATATGTATACTTTGGGGATGATAAATTTGAAGGCATATTAATTTGTATTTAATATGTATCTCTTGTAGCTTGACCTAATCAGTTATTTTTGCCACCTCAAGAGTTAGCACAAGATGCTTCCCAAAATTTGACAAAAGTGAAGACAGTATGGTTATTACGGGTATTTAAAGAAGAATATAATGACATAAAGGAGGTGCTCTCTAAAGCTCAAGAAAAGAAATAAAATGTGGGTATTATGATTTGCCCAGAAGACTATTTTCTCCTTGCCCAGGTGGCAAACCTCAGCAATGTGAATCCTCCAGATTTTGCAAGTAGATTAAGATCAGTGAGTTGAAAAACAAAACATATATATATGTGTGAGTGTGTGTGTGTGTGTGTGTGTGTGTGTATATATCTGACTGCTTTGAAGACAGAAACCTATAAAATCCAATAGTAAACTATTGTAAATAAAAAGTCTAATTATAAAAAATAAAAATTATAAATATATTTTGAAATGAAATAAAATTTTTAAAAGCCTGTACTGCTCTAATGTATGTAAAAATGAGAAAACAGTGGACAATATTAACTGGTTAAATAGTGAAGACACAATGGTAGCAAAAATATAAATTATGATGGGGAACTGCTAAATTGACAGTCATAGATTGCCAGCAATCTAGAAAACAGTTATAAAGCAAAATATGAGTGAAACTTAAACTGCATATATAGAAAAGTTTGTGGGTAATTAAAATTAAAAGTGTCCCTCTCTTCCATAAACTAACAACTTCATATTATATTTTACAGTTGAATTATGCTATACAGGAGTTCCTGTAATAAACTATAAGATTCTAAAAGAAAATTCTGATTATAACATCTTTGTATATTATTTCAAGCACCCAGACTATTGCCTTTCAGAGCAAGAGACATAAGAAAAAATTATTGGTTGAATGGATGAATGAAAGAATGAAGTCACATATAAATAGTTTCAGCCACTCTTGATTCTCTAAATCAAGAAGTTTACATAAAACACTACTCTCTAGTTCACAACTATCTTGTAAACAGATTTTCAAATTATAGATGATGGAACTGGAATGGCTAAAATCATGAATTATAACCAGTTAGATAACATAATGACTAAGAGTATGGGCTCTTGAGACAGGCAAACTTAATTTGAATTCACCACCTGAAAGTTGTAGAAATTAATTAAGATAATATCCTCTCTGATTTTCAGTTTTCTGTTGGTAAAATAAAAATAAATATGATAAAAATAATTTCAAGGCCACTATAAGAATGAAATGTGAATTATTAAGTCAAATATTTAGCACAGTGCCTAGCATAGAGACATAATAGTATTATTGTTTTCATGCCTATTTTAAAATTACATTCCAAAACTATTCCAGAAAAATAATTTATGACCTCTAAAGCATATAAATATGTTTTAGAAAACAGTAACACAAGATAACAATAAACTAGTAAAGTTAGTCAATCTAAATATACATTGAAAGCCTACCATGTAACAAGGACAATGTGGCATGTCAATATGAACACAACTAAAACTTCACACATGATTGGTACAAAAATTTATAGTTTTACATTTCTCTTCCCTGAAGTTCTTCAAAATGCAAACAAAGGAGCCCAAAATAAATAAAACTTTATCTTCTTTGTAATTAGACAAAGATCCCACAGAGTCCAAAGAAGCTCTTCTAGATATAATGCAACTTGGATGAAGTAATACAAGAAAAAATCATATAGTACCTAGCAAGAACACTCAATGAGATCTCACCTATTCTTACTTTTAAAATGTTAAAAGTCACTATGAATATATGAATTCATAGAATAAAAAAATTGTACTGAAATATATAATAAAAATTACTAAATATGCATCATGCTTGCAAATCGAAGTTAATGCAAGGTGCCTTTCTAAGAATTTGACAGAATCATTAGATAAAATAAATGACATTGTAGATTTGGACCACAATTTATTATCTATTGAACATTGTCCAGGATTGATCAAGTGCTGGGAATAATTTACAAAATTACTCACTGTTAAGCCTGTTTTTTTTTTTACTATAATGAGTGATATGGAGAAAATAAATGCAAAAAAATAGAAATAATCTGATAATAAGAAATTATTTAAAAACTCTTTTTTAAAATTATACTTAAATTCTGGGATACATGTGCATAATGTGCAGGTTTGTTACATAGGTATACACGTGCCATGGTGGTTTGCTGCACCCATCAACCTGTCATCTCCATTAAGTATTTCTCCTAATGCTATCCCTCCCCTAGCCCCCCATCCCCTGACACACCCCGGTGTGTGATGTTCCCCTCCCTGTGTCCATGTGTTCCCATTGTTCTACTCCCATTTATGGATGAGAATATGCGGTGTTTGGTTTTCTGTTCCTGTGTTAGTTTGCTGAGAATGATGGTCTCCAGCTTCATCCATGTCCCTGAAAAGGACATGACCTCATCTTTTTTTATGTTTGCATAGTATTGTGGTGTTTATGTGCCACATTTTCTTTATCCAGTCTATCATTGATGGGCATTTGGGTTGGTTCCAAGTCTTTGCTATTGTGAATAGTGCTGCAATAAACATACATGTGCATGTGTCTTTATAGTAGAATGATTTATACTCCTTTGGGTACATACCCAGTAATGGGATTCCTGGGTCAAATGGTTATTTCTGGTTCTAGATCCTTGAGGAATCACCACACTGTCTTCCACAGTGGTTGAACTAATTTACACTCCTAACAACAGCATAAAAGTGTTCCTATTTCTCCACATCCTCTCTAGCATCTCTTGTTTCCTGACTTTTTTTTTTTTTTTTTTGAGATAGAGTGTTGTTCCTGTTGTCCAGGCTGGAGTGCAATGGCATGATATCGGCTCACTGCAACCGCTACCTCCCAGGCTCAAGCGATTCTCCTGCCTTAGCCTCCTGAGTAGCTGGGATTACAGGCATGCGCCACCATGCCCAGCTAATTTTGTATTTTTAGTAGAGACAGGGTTTCTTCATGTAGGTCAGGCTGGTCTCAAACTCCCGACCTCAGGTGATCCACCCGCCTCGGCCTCCCAAAATGCTGGGACTACAGGCATGAGCCACCGTGCCTGGCCTGTTTCCTGAGTTTTTAATGATTGTCATTCTAACTGTCATGAGGTGGTATCTCATTGTGGTTTTGATTTGCATTTCTTTAATGGCCAGTGATGATGAGCTTTTTTTCATGTTTTTTGGCCACATGTCTTTTTTTGAGAAGTGTCTGTTCATATCCTTCACCCACTTTTATATGGGTTTTTTTTTCTTGTAAATTTATTTAAATTCCTTGTAGACTCTGGATATTAGCATTTTTTCAGATGGATAGATTGCAAAAATTTTCTCCATAGGCAACCTACAAAAATTCTTTTTATAATGCTTTAGACAAATATATTTTTTAATTATATATTATGTTTAAAAGTATGACAGTAACAATATTAAACATTAAACTTTTAAAAGGCAAGTAAAATTACATAAACATCAAAACATTACATTTGTATTTACAAATACTGTTTTAAAATAAAAATATAAACAAAAATAGTCTAGAAAAAGAAACTTATAACTAGATAAAATTGATTTAGGCACCAATTAATATAAATCTATACAATAATGAAATAAAAAAACCATTTATATAAATGGGACTGAGAGCAGGGTTTTTGACAAGAATGATAATATGGACAAATTTCAATAAAGGCTATTGTTAGAAACATAAAATATGCAATATCCAAAATATCTACCATTCGGAATGGGAAATGATATATGGCCACAGATATGCAATAAATAAAAAGATAATACTATAGAAAATAGAATTCCAGTTCCAGCCATAACAGAGTAGATAGCACTAATCTTGCCAACTAAAACCATAACCCTTGATAAAAAATATGTATGAAAACGTTTTGAAGGTCATAGAGATCATCCAGTGCAGACAGGCTTGAGGAGTTAGAAACTGAGAGAAAGGGAACTTACATGGTGAGATTTAGTCACCTCTGCTTTTTCCTTAGAGCCATTTTTTAACTTGCAGTGCAGCAGATTAACTAGCATTCTTATACAACTGGAGACCTGAAAATCGAAGTCTGGGATAACTAAACTTGTGGAGTCCTGAGGATCTTGGAAAGGGAATAAAAATACATACACACGAAAAAAGAAGTCTGATATTTTGAGTACAGCTTCCCACTATGTCATTGCCCAGCTTCTAAACTGTGTATTCATAGGAATGAGCTCTATGAAATTCAATAAATCTTGGCTGGAAGGAGACTAAAAAGTTGAGTGGGGATGAGAGTAGCCCCCTGACACAAGGGCAGAGAGGCTGAATTCAAATCACTATAAGATGAAGGAAAACACATTACATTTTTTAGTCAAGAAACCAAAAGAAGCATACATTCAAGAAGTAAGGGCTATACCCTAAGAACAATAAGTATGTCACTGGGGTAACAGAACTCAAGAATAACTCTAAGAAACCCTAAAACCAGGACTTACTAAGAAAACCCATCAGTGTTCTGTCTGCCTGCCAACAGAGAAGTTAACCCTGTTTGCAGGAACATAATAGCAGAATTTACTAAACAAAATTTAAGACATGCTAAAAATAGTATCTATTAAATAAGCTCCCGAACTCCACCAAGAAAAAGATAAAACAAAGAGACTACCAATGATTCATTCATTTATTGAAGATATCAGATATGAACTTAATAATTATGATTACTATGTTTGAGAACTTTAAAAAAATGACAAACTAGATGAAGAGATGGAAAATGTCAATAGAAACTGGAATTTATAAAAATTGTGTTTATATTCCAGATCTACACGATATCTGAAATTAGGAATTTATTAGACAGATCTAACAGCAGACTTAACAGTGGAAAAACCAGTGAATCCAAATTCAGGGTGAAGGAAAACACAACTAAAGCAACAAGAGGAAAACCTATGGGAGAAAAAGTAACAACATAATGAGAAACATGGTCAAAGGAATAAGTACATGTAATTGAAAATGGTGGAAGGAAATGAAAAGGAGATTGCAGAAAAATAATCAGAATACACAAAGCTGAAAATTTTCTACAGGTAATTAAGACCGCTTACACAATGAAGAACCTTAATGAACTCCATACCAAGATAAAAAAAAATCACACCAAGGCCCATCATAGTCAAAATGCAAAGATCTCATAGAGAAAGAGAAAAAAGTCTTAATAGTAGTCAGAGGATGTATGACATTGCTCCTTCAAAAATAAATTAGATTGTGGATAACTTTTCAATGCAGACTGTGAGAGCTGGAAAATAATGGAGCAACATCTTTAAAGTGTGGAAGAAACAACAACTTCCAAACTGATTTCTGTAAATAACTAAAATACCCTTAAAAAAGATAAAATACATATAAAAAAATGAAATTGACAAATTCATAACCATCAGAAAAAACACCTGAAAAGTACTACATATGCAATCAAAAATATATTTCATAGGCTTAACAGCAGATTGAGTATAAAAGAGGAAAGGTTAACAAACTTTAAATCAGGTCCAAAGAAATTTGAAAAGCTCAATATAACTAAAATAGTAAAGAATTTAAATTAGTAATTAAAAATCAGTAATTGAGAATTTTCTATTGGCAAAATACAGGGTCTGTAGGTTAATTTTAACAGAAACTGAAAGCAGAAATATTATTAGTCTTTCTCTCTCTCTCTTTTTTTTTTTTTGCAGAAAACTGAGGAGGAATGAACATTTTCCAATGTGTTATTTGAGGTCAATATTACCTTGATACCGAAACCATACAAACACATCCCTGAGGTAAATTATGTATCAATATTCCCAATGAATACAAATGCAGAATGGCTATTATTAAAAAGTCAAAACATTAACAGTTGCTGGCAAGGTTGCAGAGAAAAGGGAACATTTATAAAATGGTTGGTGGGAGAGTAATGAATTCAACCATTGTGGAAAGCTGTGTGGCATTTCCTCAAGGAGCTAAAAGCAGAACTACCATTTGACCCAGCAATCCCATTACTGGGTATGTACCCACAGGAATACAAATTATTCTACCGTAAAGACACAGGCATGCAAATGTTCACTGCAGCATTATTCACAATAGCAAAGACATGGAATCAACTTAAATGCCCATCAATGAAAGATTGAGTAAAAAAAAAAAAAAATGTGACACATATATACCATAGAATACTATGCATCCACAAAAAAGAACAAGATTGTGTCTTTTTCAGGAACATGGATGGACCTGGAGGCTATCATCCTTAGCAAACTAAAGGAGGAACAGAAAACCAAATACCACATGTTCTTACAAGTGGGAGCTAAATTATGAGAAATTATGAACACAAAGAAGGAAACAACAGACACTGGCGTCTTTTTGACGGCTGAGGTTGGGCGGAGGGAGAGGAGCAAAACAGATAACTATCGGGTACAGGACTTAATCCTGAGTGATGAAATAATCTGTACAATAAACCTCCTTGACATGAGTTGACGTGTGTAACAAACTTCATGTACCACCGAACCTAAAATAAAATAATTATTTTAGAAAACAAAAATTCTCAACAAAATATAAACAAAATCTAGCAAAACCAAAAAGAATGATAAAGCATGACCAAGCAGGAGTATCATAGAAATGCAACATGGAATTAATAGCTTAAAATTGGTTAATGTGAAACATCATATTAATAAATTAAAGGACAAGAGCCATAAGATCTTTTTGACAGATGCAGAAAATTGCTTCATGATATCCACCATCCAGTTTTATTTGCTTTAAAAAAAAAAGCTTAAAAACTCCAAATAAAATAGAACTTCTTCAACCTAATAAAGGGTATCTATGAAAACCCCCAAAATTAGCTTTCTGCTTACTGTTGAGAGACTGTATGTTTTCCCCTTAATTGGGAAGAATATAAGCATGTGTCTCATAACATCTATTCAGCACTGCATTGAGGATTCTAGTTAGTGCAATCAGAGAAGACATAGAAATAAAAGCATCAAACTGAAAATAAAGAATAAAAAGAATAAAACTGTAATATTCACACATGACATAATGCTGTATAAATCAAAGAAATACACAAACTACTAGAACTAGTAAACAAATTCAGCGAAGTCATAGGATATAAGATAATTAAACAATATTAGTTGTAGTTCTACATATACCAATAAAATAGGTAGGAACACATTTAAGAAAAAAGTCAAAATTCATGCTTTGAAAATGAATATTGTCCGGAGAAATTCTAAATGATTTAAGTGGATGGAAAGATATTCCATGATTATGGATAGGGACAAATATTTTTAAGATGATACTTCCCAGCTTGATCTATAGATTCAATACAAACTCTATCAAACTCCCAACTGGCTCCTTTGAATAAATCTTTTGAAAAAATTGACAAGCTATTCTAAAATTTATATGGAAATGGAAATCATCTAAAATGCCAAAACATTATTGACTAGAAGAATAAAGCTGGAGGACATATCCTTCATAATTTCAAAACTTAACTACAGAGATAATAGTGAAGAAAGGGAGGTGCCGTGGTTAATGCCTGTAATCCCAGCACTTTGGGAGGCTAATGCGGGAGAACTCCTTGAGGCCAGGAGTTTGAAACCAGCCTGGGAAACATAGCAAGACTCCATCTCTACAAGAAAATAAAAATAAATAAATAAATAAATAAATAAATAAATAAATAAGAGCTGGGTGTGGTGATGTGCACCTGTAGTCCTTACTCCTCAGGATGCTGAGGTGAAGGATCATTTGGTCAATCCTGGCAAATTGAGATCAGTAATTCCAAGTTGTACTTAAGTAGGGTTATACCACTGCTCTCCAGCCTGGACATCAGAAGGAGACCCTGTCTCTAAAAAATAAGAAAAATTTAAACCAAAAAAAAAATGAGAGAGAGAGGGACTAACAAAGGGTAGTTTTTGAGTACAAGGGAATATAATTAGGACATCAGAAATCCATATGTCAGAATATGAATTTACACTTTTACCTCACACCACATAGAAAAATTAACCTAAAATGGATCATAGATTTAAATATAAAAGCAAAATTAAAAAGTTAGAAGGAAACATGACAGTACATATTTGTGACTTTGTATTAGGCAATGATTTCTTAGATATGACTTTTAAAGCCAAAGAGGTAAACAAAAATGTAATAAATTGTTTATCAAAATTCAAAATGTTCATGCTTCAAAAAAGACCACTAAGAAGATGAAAAGACAAACCCCAGGCTGAAATAAAATATTTGTAAATCATATTTCCAGAATATGTGACTCTTACAACTTAATAAATAAACGCTCAAAAGACTACATAAATATTTTACCAAATAAGTACACATATATCTAATAAAAGCATATCAAAATGTAAATAGAATGGTGGTTACCAGAGTCTGGGAAGGGTAGTTGGGTGGGAGAGATTGATTAATAAGTACAAAAACATAGTTAGATAGAAGAAAGTAGTTCTAATGTTTGGTAGCACAATAGGGTGACTATAGTTAACAAATAGTTTATTGTATATTTCAAAATAGCTAGGAAAGTAGATTAAAAATATCCCCAAAACAAAGAAATCATAAATGTTTGCAGTGCTGTATATACTATTACCCGATTTGATCATTACACATTGTTTGCTTTTATCAAAATATCACATGCACCACATAAATATGTATAATTATTATGTACCCATAAAAATAAAAAAAAATGACTAATGTCAATTTGTCATTATGAAAATGCATATAAAATCCATAGTGCAATATCATTGAAAACACAGTAGAAGGATTATAATAGAAAAGACAGGATATAAAAAGTATTATTAAGAATGTGAAGGAAGAAGAGCCCTAACTCATTGTTGATGGATATAGAAAATAGTGCAGCCACTTGGAGAAACAGGTTGACAATTTCTTATAAAGCCACACATAAATTTATTGCATAATCTAACGTATTTGTCTCCTATTACTACTGTAACCAATTGCCACAAATTTAGTGTCTTAAAACAATACAAATTTATTATCTTACAGTTCTAGAGGTCAGAAGTCTTAAATGTCTTATATATCTAATGGGGAGTGACTGCAAATGGGTGATAAAAATGTTATGAAATTGGAGTGTGGTATTCCTTGCACAACTCTGTAAATTTACTAAAAATATTTCATTGTCCATGAAATCAAGTAGATCCTATGTGAATTATACCTCAATAAAGCTAATTAATATTTTTATACCAAGTCCATAAGAATATTAGTGAATTAATGAAACAACAGGATAGTACATAGAGTCCATTATGGTCTGTATACTGTTTTTGTAAACCTAGAAAAATTCAAGCATATTTCAAATATTTAAAAATTTTTTAAAGCAATACTAAAGTAAATATTTCTATTGTTTTGGAATGTGTGATTATTTTCTGAAAACAGGACAAAATGTTTTCAACTAGGAAAACATTAGTGGTTTAAATATTTAAAATTCCTCTGTGGCTGTGGCACTAAAAATAAATTTAAACAAATGAATAATACAGTATTAATTACAACCTGCTTCACATGTCTTTGTCTACCCAGTACCTGTGTATTTACCTAGCTTCTCCCTTGCAACTAGTCCTATGGGTGTGATTTGGGTTTCATTTTGCAATTGAACTGAAGGAAGAACTCAAGCTCCCAGTTTAATGCAGAGTGGTATCAGGGACAGTATGGTTCTGGATTGAGCTGTGGGGTGGCTACTTGCCAATCCAGCAAGTGGGTTTCAGATTACACAATAGGAGCATGTAAGGCAGTCCAGAGTTTGGTAGCATGCTTCTTGGAGTCATTCACAGATCAGACTGCATTATGTTCCTCAGCCCTGGCACAGGTTATATAAACCACATAGGACCCCACACCCAGCTTTTCTTCCTTTATCTAGTATTGATTCTCTCTTCTGCTATTGAATTCCAAGTTATCTACTAGGAAAACATAATGTATAATTCACATGACAGAAAGTTACTATTTTTAATGTATAAAGAAATTGTATAAATCAATGAGGAAAATACAAATGCTCCAGTTGAAAAGAGGCAATTTACTTAAAAACATATACTTATAATGGTTTAGCATATGAGATGCTCAATCACACTAAAAAAATAAATTAAATCAATAATTTATTTTCATATTTTTACCTTTTAAACTGGTAACATTAAAAAGAGGGATACTATTCATTATGAGAAAGGTGTGAAGAAACAAGCAATATTTTATACTGTTGGTGTATTAGTCCGTTTTCACGCTGTTGATAAAGACATACCTGAGAATGGGCAATTTATAAACGAAAAAGATTTATTGGACTTACGGTTCCACATGGCTGGGGAGGCCTCACAATAATGGCAGAAGGCATAGAGGAGCAAGTCACATCTTACACGGATGGCAGCAGGCAAAAAGAGAGCTTATTATGGAGGAACTCCCATTTTTCAAACAGTCAGATCTCCTGAGACCTATTCACTATCAGGAGAACAGCATAGGAAAGACCCACCCCCATAATTCAATCATCTCCCCTGGGGTCCCTCCCACAACACATGGGAATTATGAGAGCTACAAAATGATATTGGGTGGGGACACAGTGCCAAACCATATTAGCTGGTAACTTAGATACTAATTTGTGAATAATGTGGCAATATTTTAGAAACTTTCAAGTAATATGCAGTTTGACCCATACATTTCCTTTTTAGAAACTTGTCTAAATACTTTACTTTCTGGTCTATGGATCCTTGGGTACTCCACAAACCCTGGTAGACACTCAATAAATAGTTGTTGACCCTTTTTGCTAAAAGATGTATTTATACAAGGCTCAGTACAACATTGTTGAAAAAAAAAAACCGTTGGGAATAATCAAAATATATACCAATAAGATATTAAATTTTTATAATATACTGAAATACTATATAATAATTAAAAAGAATTAGGTATGTCTACTGTATGTATGAACATTTGTTGGTATAATATAATCTTATTTTTTGTGAAATTCAGAAGATATAAAATAAACTAATAGTAAAAAAAAATTTTACCATTTCATAATTTAAATGTAATATAAAGGAGTAAACACAAACACGCTCATATAACATCAAACCCTCTCCACAAAGAAAAAGTAAATAAATACACAGGAATAAGACTAATTGTGATGAATGTATTTTTAGAATTTGTGACAGACAATTTCTTTGCCTAAAATCGTGTTTTTGAAAGCAGTAAAAGGTGCAGGTTCTAGCAAGAGGACAACACTGATAGATGTTTCTGAATTCTTCTTCCTCCCTGCTTTTTCTCCCTTCTCTGGAGTGAGACCATTCATTACCTGCAAAACTTTAAAAAGGGCCACTATTGATCCATTTGATACCGTCTTGCCAATTAGAAAAATGCTGGCTACACTCCCTTCTTCTTGGGCACATGATTTAGAGGAGCATGAGCTGGTTTTCAGCTCCTACTCACTCACTCAGTCATTGTTCTTATGGGAGGATAACTACAAAACCATAGATGATGTTCCTGATCATGCATTCATTCAAAGAGTTCAGGAGACAACCAAGTTCTGTCAGTTATCTTGGGGAGATTTCCCTGGCATGCTCATATATGATTCTAAAAAGGCCTATCTCTGGTGACTTGTGAACACCTGAAGGCAAGCCACTGGTTCAATTGCTGTCAGTATCTCTAGCTTACCACCATTCCACAAGTATAGAAACAATTCTGCTTGCCATCAATCACTAAAGGCCTGCCTTGCAAGCCGAGGCTACATGATATTTTAATAATTTAAAATTAAATTAAAAAACAAAAAAGAAAATCAGTATAGATAATTAGTGGATTAGTCTGTCAAGTGCAATGCCAAAATGTGACAAAAGAAAGAAAAAATTAAACTAATAAAGAGAAAAATGAGAAATTTGGAGAATAGCTTCAGAAAATTTGGACATTCTAGAATGAGATAAAGCAACAGAAGAAGAACAACTAAACAAATAACAGAAAATTACTTATCTTTACAGTCAGAAGAAAGGCTGCAGTGTTTAACTTGAAAAGGCTCATTGAAATTCAAGTGAGAATATTTTTTAAAAAATACAACAAAGCCAGGTGTAGTACCTGTAATCCAAGCTACTGAAACGGCTGAGGCAGGAGGATTGCCTGAGCCCAGGAGTTGGAGACAAGCCTAGGCAACATAATGAGACCTTGTCAAAAATAGATATATATATATATTTGTACAGAAATAAGATGATCAAATAACATCTACTAGTTTATCACAATTGTTCTAGTAGTAATCACAGTCAACTAAGAGAAAAGGATTTGGTGTTCAAGAGTCCTACAGCCAGACAAAATATCATTTCCCCATCAAAAAGAAATATATCACTAAGAAAATTTTAGATTGCCATAGCATATTAGATAGATTTTTTAATGAAATAAAAATGGAATAAGAACATTGTTTCAAAAAATGCAGAGTACTCAACCATCTATACCTGTGTGCATATGTACATGAGGCTGTGTGTGTGTGTGTGTGTGTGTGTGTGAGTGATTGTGTGTAAATAAACAGGACAAGTATTTGGGAACAATTTTTGACTCTCTGTACTATCTGATCACTTTGGGATGGGGTCAGTCACCTTAGTAGCAGTAAGGGACAGAGAAAGAATTCCAAGTAGCAAACAGCCACATGCTAAAACAGCAAGCTATGTTAAAAAAAAATCTACTACTCTCAGTCCCTGAGTTTCCTTACATATGGCTGAGTCCACTAGTAGTTTTTCATTTACACTGACATGAACCATACTATGTCAAAAAATAGTTCAGGAACAGCCAAGAAGTTCCCAAGATCACAGACTTCAAAAACCCCTGTTACAACCCTAAAGCATTGCCTGAAACTTTATCTTTGCCTGAAGCTTTATGCTTTGCCTGAAGTTCTCTCAAACTTCTCATTGGAATTATTCTAAAGCAGCTAACCACCGATTGAGCACACGTACAGCCTGTTTTAACTTTTTGCATGGACCTTTGTTTAATAGACCATCACTGACTTGAGGAAGAGCCTGCAGCCAAGGCCACAGACAGTGGGATCTGCACTTGCAGTTTCTGTTTCATTTGGTTGAACTCTGTTTTTTTACCCATCACTTGGGCAGGTGAAAGTTATAAACCAACTGTGGTATCTTCCCCAGTAACCGTCTGTTTCTCCTAAGTCTCATTATTTCTAATAAAGAAACCTGTTTTTTTGTCTCCATAAGAAAAACAGCTTTCCTTCTGATTGTGATTTCCTTATCAAAAATGTTTTCCAACTATTTAGAAACCATAGATATATATGGAGATATATGGAGAACAATACTAGCTAAAATTAAATTTTAAACTGTTTCAAGAAACCAAGAATTTAGAAGCATGGGAAGGTAAGCAGAGACAGTGCCACATGTTCATATCATTTCATTTTTGCAAATACAGTATTTCACAGATGTCACTGCATTAGGTGGGGCCATGTGACTAATTCAGGATACTGCAATGTGAGTGAAAGTAAGGCATATGAACACAGTCTTTGAAGATTCAGCTGCCTTCTTCTTCCATAACAACTGAAGGTTCCATATATTGAGATGATAGAATCAAAAGATCCAAACACCAGAGATCACTGAATTCCGACAGAGGAAACTTCTTTTCAGAGCTGATACAGGTCCTGCAGACTTTCCGTGTGTGTGTGTGTGTGTGTGTGTGTGTGTGTGTGAGATTGCGTGTAAATAAATAGGACAAGTATTTAGAAACAATTTCTGACTCTCTCTACTAACTACTAACCATACCCACTTTGGGATGGGCTCAGTCACTTTGATGGCTGTAAGGAACAGAGAAAGAATTATCTGCATAAGACTTTGCATAAGTGAAAAATAAACTCTCATATACTAAATAACTGTGGTGGATTTTTCCCTTCTAGCATGTCCTAGTTTATCCTGAATAGCATGTGACAAAAGATAGGGGAAATTGATTGTTAATGCTTTCTAAACTTTTATCTTGGATTGTGATCAAAGCTATGCCATTTGCTTTTATTAATATAATAAAGAAAACAATATATTAAATTTTGATTTTTCAGAATGAAAGATAAGTACTACCATATTGAAAAGCATAGTAGAACATAATTAGCAAGCAAAAAAGAAGAATGATACAAGTATACTAAAGCCAGAAAAATAATAAAAAGGAAAAAGAAAACAATAGCAAAGTAAAATAAACAGCTAACATGAAATAAAATGCAAGTAATAAAAACAATTATATCATTTATTGTATGCAATGTGAGCAGGCTGGATTTCCCAATTAGAGATGGATAATTGTTGGGATGGGTTAAAAACAAAATGTACACATATGTTGTGTACAAAAAATATAATGATAAAAGTAAGTTGGAAATAAGAGATGGGGAATAGATTCCTAGACAACTATGAACAACATAAAACAGTCTTGGAAATATTAGAGTGCAAGGAAATCTATGAAAAATGGAAATATTACAGTGCAGGGAAATCTATGAAAAAAGCATTTAATAAGGGGAAGAGACACAATACATAATGATCCCAAAAGTATAAATTTTTGAGAAAATGTAATAGACCTAAACCTTTATACATTGAACAAGATAGCAAATAACTATATAAAGAAAACCTCCCAAAGGTATTTTTTTCTAAGTTTAGTTATTTTTATGTAATTTCAACTTATATTTTAGATATAGAGGGTACATGTACAGGTTTGTTACATAGGAATGTTACATGATGCTGAGGTTTGAGGTACAGATCCCACCACCCACGTAATGAGCGTAATATCCAACAAGTAGTTTTTCAACCTACCCCAACTCCCTCCACTCTCTAGTAGTCAGTAGTACCTATTCTTCCCATATTTAGGTTCATGTGTTAGCTCCCACTTGTAAGTGAGAACATGTGGTATTTGATTTTCTGCTCCTACATTAATTTGCTTAGGATTATGGTCTCCAGCTACGTCCATGTTGCTGCGAAGGACATGATTCATTCTTTCTTATGGCTGCATAGTATTCCACAGTGCATATGTACCACATTTTCTTTATCCAATCTACCATTGATGGGCACCTGGGTTGATTCCATGTCTTTGCTGTTGTGAATAGCAGTGGGATGAGCATCTAAGTGGATGTATCTTCTTGGCAGAATGATTTAATTTCCTTTAAGTGTATGCCCAGTAATGGGATTGCTGGGTCATATGGTAGTTCTGTTTTAAATTCTTTGAGAAATCTTCAAACTGCTTTCCAAAGTGGCTGAACTAATTTACATTCCCAACAACAGTATATAAGTATTTCCTTTTCCCCATTTTTCCTGCAGCCTAGCCAGCATCTGTTTCTTTCTTTCTTGTTTTTTTTTTTTTTTTTGACTTTTTAGTAATAGCCATTCTGTGACCAGCTGGATATGAAGACAAGACCCATTGGTGCACTGTATTCAAGAGACACATCATATTTGCAAAGATGCACATAAACTCAAAATAAAGGGATGGAGGAAAAATTACCAAGCAAATGGAAAGCAGGAAAAAAGCAGGGGTTGCAATCCTAGTTTCTGACAAAACAGACTTTAAACAAACAAAGGTCAAAAAAGACAAGAAGGGCATTACATAATGTGAAAGGGTTCAATTCAACAAGAAGAGCTAACTATCCTAAATATATATGCACACAATATAGGAACATCCAGATTCATAAAACAAATTCTTAGAGACCTACAAAGAGACTTAGACCTCCACACAATAATAGTGGGAGACTTTAATACCCCACTGTCAGTATTAGACAGATCATCAAGACAGAAAATTAACAAAGATATTCAGGACTTGAACTCATCCCTAAATCAAGTGGACATATTATTTTGAGATACACCCCATCAATAACTAATTTACTGAGAGTGTTTAGCATGAAGGGCTGTTGAATTTTGTCAAAGGCCTTTTCTGCATCTATTGAGATAATCATGTGGTTTTTGTCTTTGGTTCTGTTTATATGCTGGATTATGTTTATTGATTTGTGTATGTTGAACCAGCCTTGCATCCCAGGGATGAAGCCCACTTGATCATGGTGGATAAGCTTTTTGATGTGCTGCTGGATTCGGTTTGCCAGTATTTTATTGAGGATTTTTGCATCGATGTTCATCAGGGGTATTGGTCTAAAATTCTCTTTTTTTGTTGTGTCTCTGCCAGGCTTTGGTATCAGGATGATGCTGGCCTCATAAAATGAGTTAAAGAGGATTCCCTCTTTTTCTATTGATTGGAATAGTTTCAGAAGGAATGGTACCAGCTCCTCCTTTTACCTCTGGTAGAATTCGGCTGTGAATCCGTCTGGTCCTGGACTGTTTTTGGTTGGTAAGCTATTAATTATTGCCTCAATTTCAGAGCCTGTTATTGGTCTATTAAGAGATTCAACTTCTTCCTGGTTTAGTCTTGGGAGGGTGTAAGTGTTGAGGAATTTATCCATTTCTTCTAGATTTTCTAGTTTATTTGCATAGAGGTGTTTGTAGTAATCTCTGATGGTAGTTTGTATTTCTGTGGGATCGGTGGTGATATTCCCTTTATCATTTATTATGGCATCTATTTGATTCTTCTCTCTTTTCTTCTTTATTAGTCTTGCTAGCAGTCTCTCAATTTTGTTGATCTTTCCAAAAAACCAGCTCCTGGATTCATTGATTTTTTGAAGGCTTTTTTGTGTCTCTATCTCCTTCAGTTCTGCTCTGATCTTAGTTATTTCTTGCCTTCTGCTAGCTTTTGAATGTGTTTGCTCCTGCTTCTCTAGTTCTTTTAATTGTGATGTTAGGGTGCCAATTTTAGATCTTTCCTGCTTTCTCTTGTGGGCACTTAGTGCTATTAATTTCCCTCTACACACTGCTTTGAATGTGTCCCAGAGATTCTGGTATGTTGTGTCTTTGCTCTCATTGTTTTCAAAGAACATCTTTATTTCTGCCTTCATTTCGTTATGTACCCAGTAGTTATTCAGGAGCAGGTTGTTCAATTTCCATGTAGTTGAGCGGTTTTGAGTGAGTTTCTTAATCCTGAGTTCTAGTTTGATTGCACTGTGGTCTGAGAGACAGTTTGTTATAATTTCTGTTCTTTTACATTTGCTGAGGAGAGCTTTACTTCCAACTATGTGGTCAATTTTGGAATAAGTGCAATGTGGTGCTAAGAAGAATGTATATTCTGTTGATTTGGCGTGGAGAGTTCTGTAGATGTCTATTAGGTCCACTTGGTGCAGAGCTGAGTTCAGTTCCTAGATATCCTTGTTAACTTTCTGTCTCGTTGATCTGTCTAATGTTGACAGTGGGGTGTTAAAGTCTCCCATTATTATGGAGTGGGAGTCTAAGTCTCTTTGTAGGTCTCTAAGGACTTGCTTTATGAATCTGGGTGATCCTGTGTTGGGTGCATATATATTTAGGATAGTTAGCTCTTCTTGTCGAATTGATCCCTTTACCATTATGTAATGGCCTTCTTTGTCTCTTTTGATCTTTGTTGGTTTAAAGTCTGTTTTATCAGAGACTAGGATTGCAACCCCTCCCTTTTTTTGTTTTCCATTTGCTTGGTAGATCTTCCTTCATCCCGTTATTTTGAGCCTATGTGTGTCTGTGCATGTGAGATGGGTTTCCTGAATACAGCACACTGATGGGTCTTGACTCTTTATCCAATTTGCCAGTCTGTGTCTTTTAATTGGAGCATTTAGCCCATTTACGTTTAAGGCTAATATGACAAACCCACAGTCAATATCATACTGAATGGGCAAAAACTGGAAGCATTCCCTTTCAAAACTGGCATAAGACAGGGATGTCCTCTCTCACCACTCCTATTCAACATAGTGTTGGAAGTTCTGGCCAGGGCAATCAGGCAGGAGAAAGAAATAAAGGGTATTCAATTAGGAAAAGAGGAAGTCAAATTGACTCTGTTTGCAGATGACATGATTGTACATCTAGAAAACCCCATCGTCTCAGCCCAAAATCTCCTTAAGCTGATAAGCAACTTCAGCAAAGTTTCAGGATACAAAATCAATGGGCAAAAATCACAAACATTCTTATAAACCAATAACAGACAAATGGAGAGCCAAATCATGAGTGAACTCCCATTCACAATTGCTTCAAAGAGAATAAAACACCTAGGAATACAACTTACAAGGGATGTGAAGGACCTCTTCAAGGAGAACTACAAACCACTGCTCAATGAAATAAAAGAGGATACAAACAAATGGAAGAACATTCCATGCTCATGGATAGGAAGAATTAATATCGTGAAAATGGCCATACTGGCCAAGGTAATTTATAGATTCAGTGTCATCCCCATCAAGCTACCAATGACTTTCTTCACAGAATTGGAAAAATCTACTTTAAAGTTCATATGGAACCAAAAAAGAGCCCGCATTGCCAAGTCAATCCTAAGCCAAAAGAACGAAGCTGGAGGCATCACGTTACTTGACTTCAAACTATACTATAAGGCTACAGTAACCAAAACAGCATGGTACTGGTACCAAAACAGAGATATAGACCAATGGAACAGAACAGAGCCCTCAGAAATAATACCACACATCTACAACTATCTGATCTTTGACAAACCTGACAAAAACAAGAAATGGGGAAGGATTCCCTATTTAACAAATGGTGCTGGGAAAACTGGCTAGCCATATGTGGAAAGCTGAAACTGGATCCCTTCCTTACACCTTATACAAAAATTAATTCAAGATGGATTAAAGACTTACATGTTAGACCTAAAACCATAAAAACCCTAGAAGAAAACCTAGGCACTACCATTCAGGACATAGGCATGGGCAAGGACTTCATGTCTAAAACACCAAAAGCAATGGCAACAAAAGACAAAATTGACAAATGGGATCTAATTAAACTAAAGAGCTTCTGCACAGCAAAAGAAACTACCATCAGAGTGATCAGGCAACCTACAGAATGGGAGAAAATTTTTGCAATCTACTCATCTGACAAAGGGCTAATATCCAGAATCTACAATGAACTCAAACAAATGTATAAGAAAAAAACAACCCCATCAACAAGTGGGCAAAGGATATGAACAGACACTTCTCAAAAGAAGACATTTATGCAGCCAAAAGACACATGAAAAAATGCTCATCATCACTGGCCATCAGAGAAATGCAAATCAAAACCACAATGAGATACCATCTCACACCAGTTAGAATGGTGATCATTAAAAAGTCAGGAAACAATAGGTGCTGGAGAGGATGTGGAGAAATAGGAACACTTTTACACTGTTGGTGGGACTGTAAACTAGTTCAACCATTGTGGAAGACAGTGTGGTGATTCCTCAGGGATCTAGAACTAGAAATACCATTTGACCCAGCCATCCCATTACTGGGTATATACCCAAAGGATTATAAGTCATGCTGCTATAAAGACACATGCACGCATATGTTTATTGCAGCACTATTCACAATAGCAAAGACTTGGAACCAACCCAAATGTCCATCAATGATAGACTGGATTAAGAAAATGTGGCACATATACACCATGGAATACTATGCAGCCATAAAAAATGATGAGTTCATGTCCTTTGTAGGGACATGGATGAAGCTGCAAACCATCATTCTCAGTAAACTATCACAAGGACAAAAAACCAAACACTGCATGTTCTCACTCACAGGTGGGAATTGAACAGTGAGAACACTTGGACACAGGAAAGGGAACATCACACACTGGGGCCTATTGTGGGCTGGGGGTAGGGGTGAGGGATAGCATTAGGAGATATACCTAATGCAAATGATGAGTTAATGGGTGCAGCACACCAACATGGCACATGCATACATATGTAACAAACCTGTACATTGTGCACATGTACCCTAGAACTTAAAGATAATAAAAAATAAATAAATAAATAAATAAATAAATAAATAAATGAAGTAGACGTGATAGATATCTACAGATGTCTCCATGCAAAAACCACAGAATATACTTTTTTTTTTCCGGTGCCACATGGCACTTAACACTAAAATCAATCACATAATTAGAAGTAAAGTACTTCTCAGCAAATGCAAAAGAACTGGAATCATAACAGTCTCTCAGACCACAGAGCAATCAAATTAAAACTCAAAAAAGCCCACTGAAAACTATAAAACTACATGGAAATTGAACAACCTGCTCCTAAATGACTCTTTGGTACATATGGAAATTAAGGCACAAATCAAGAAGTTCTTTGAAACTAATAAGAACAAAGAGACAACGTATCAGAATCTCTGGGATGTAGCTAAAGCAGTGTTAAGATAGAAATTTGTAGCACTAAATGTCCTCATCAAAAAGCTAGGAAGATCTCAAAACAACATCCCAACATCACAAGTAAAACAACTAAAGAACTAAGGGCAAACAAACTCTAGAGCTAGCAGAAGACAAGAAATAACCAAGCTCACAGTGGAACTGAAGGAGATAGAGAAACCCTTTGAAAAATCAACAAATCCAAGAGCTGCTTTTTTTTTTTTGAAAAAAAAAATCAATAGAATAGATGACTAGCAAGATTAATAAGCAACAAAAGAGAGAAGATTCAAATAACACAATCAGAAAAGATAAGGGGGATACCACCACCAATCCCACAGAAATACAAAACAAATCAGAGAATACTATAAACACATCTATACAAATAAGCTGGAAAATCTAGAAGAAATGGATAAATTCCTGGACACATACACCCTCCCAAGACTGAACCAGAAAGAAGTTGAATCTCTGAATACACCAAAAACAAGCTCTGAAATTAAGGAAGTAATAAATAGCCTGCCAACCAAAAAAAAAAAAAAAAAAAAAAAAAAAAAAGCCCAGATCTACATGGATTTACAGCTGAATTCTACCAGAAGTAAAAAGAGGAGCTGGTACCATTTCTTCTGAAACTATTCCAAAAAATTGAAAAGGAGGGAATCCTCCCTAACTCATTTTATGAGGCCAGCACTCATCCTGATACCAAAACCTGGGAGAGATACAACAAACAAAGAAAGATTTAGGCTAATATATCTGATGAACATCGATGCAAAAATCCACAATAAAATACTGGCAAACCAAATCCAGCAGCACATAAAAAAACTTACCCACCACAATCAAATCGGCTTCATCCCTAGGATGCAGGGCTGGTTCAACATATGCAAATCAATAAACGTAATTCATTACATAAACAGAACTAAAGACAAAAAAACCATGACTATCTCAATAGACACATAAAAGGCCTTCAACGATATTCAGCATCCCTTCATGTTAAAAACTCTCAATAAACTAGATACTGAAGGAATGTACCTCAAAATAATAAAAGCCATTTACGACAAACACACAGTCAATATCATACTGAATGGGCAAAAGCTGGAAGCATTCCCCTTGAAAACTGGCACAAGACAAGGATGCCGTCTCTCCCCACTCTTATTGAACATAGCATTGGAAGTTCTGGCCAGACCAATTAGGCAAGAGAGAGAAATAAAGCATATTAATAGGAAGAGAGGAAGTCAAAGTGTCTTTGTTTGCAGATGACATAATCCTACATCTAGAAAAACACATAATTTCAGCCCAAAAGCTTCTTAAGATGATAGACAACTTTAACAAAGTCTCAGATACAAAATCAATGTGTAGAAATCACAAGCATTCCTATACAACAACAACACACAAACAAAAACCCAAATTATGAATGAACTCCCATTCACAAATGCCACAAAGAGAATAAAATACCTAGAAATACAACTAACAAGGGAAGTGAAGGACCTCTTCAGGGAGAACTCCAAACTACTAAAGGAAATCAGAAAAACATTCCATGCTCATGGATAGGAAGAATTAGTATCATGAAAATGGCTGTACTGCCCAAAACAATTTATATATTCAATGCTATTCTCATTAAACTACTATTGACATTCTTCACAGAATTAGAAAAAACTGTTTTAAAATTCATATGAACCAAAAAATAGCTCTCATAGCCAGATAATCCTAAGCAAAAAGAAAAGCTGGAGGCTTCACACTACCCAACTTCAAACTATATTACAAGGCCACAGTAACAAAAACAGCATGGTACTGGTACAAAAACAGGCACATAGACCAATGGAACAGAATAGAGAACTCAGAAATAAAATGGCACATCTACAACCATCTGATATTTGACAAAGCCAACAAAAACAAGCAATGGAGAAAGGATCCCCTATTTAAAAATAAAATTTAATAAATGGTGCTGGGAGAGCTGGCTAACCATATGCAGAAAATTAAAACTGGATCCATTCCTTACACCTTATACAAAGCTTAACTCAAATGGATTAAAGACTTAAATGTAAAACCCAAAACTATAAAAACCCTAGAAGAAAATATAGGCAATACAATTCATGACATAGGCATGGGCAAAGACTTTATGATGAAATCGCCAAAAGCAATTGTAACAAAATCAAAAATTGACAAAAGGGATCTAATTAAACTAAAGAGCTTCTGCACAGCAAATGAAGCTATCATCAGAGCCAACAGACAACCTAGAGAATAAGAGAGAATTTTTGCAATCTATCCATCTGACAAAAAGCTAATATCCAGAATCTATAAGAAACTTAAGCAAATTTACAAGAAACAACCCCATTAAAATGTGGGCAATGGATATGAACAGACACTACTCAAAAAAAGACATACATGGAGCCAACAAACATATACAAAATAGCTCAACATCCATGATCATTTGAAAAATGCAAATCAAAATCATAATAAGATACCATCTCATGACAGTCAGATGGTGATTATTAAAAAATCAAGAAACAACAAATGCTGGCAAGGTTCCAGAGAAATTGGAATGCTTTTACGCTGTTGGTGGGAATGTAAGTTAGTTCAACCATTGTGGAAGACAGTGTGGCGATTCGTCAAAGATTTAGAACCAGAAATACCATTTGACCCAGCAATGCCATTACTGGGTATATACCCAAAGGAATACAAATATAAATCATTCTATTATAACAATACATGCACACATATGCTCATTGTAGCACTATTCACAATAGCAAAGACATGGAATCAACCAAAATGCCCATCAATGATAGACTGGATAAAGAAAATGTGGCACATATACACCACAGAATACTATACATTCATAAAAACGAATGAGATCATGTCCTTTGCAGGGACATGGATGAAGCTGGAAGCCATTATTCTCAGAAAACTAACACAGGGACAGAAAACCAAAAACTGCACGTTCTCAGTTACAAGTGGGAGCTGAACAATGAGAACACATGGACACAGGAAGGGGAACAACACTTACTGGGGCCTATCGGGGGGTGGGGTAGGGACAGCATTAGGGAAAAGAGCTAATGCATACTGGGCTTTACACCTAAGTGATGGGTTGACAGGTGCAGCAAACCACCATGGCACACGTTTAGTTATGTAATAAACCTGCACATCCTGCACATGTACCCTGGAACTTAAAAAAGATAAAATAAAATAATTATAACAATAGCCATTCTGACTAGAGTGAGATGGTACTGCATTGTGATTTTGATTTACATTTCTCTGGTGATTTGTGATGATTAGCACTTTTTCATATGTTTGTTGGCTGCTTGTATGTTTTCTTTTAAGAAGTATCTGTTCATGTCCTATGTCCATTTTTAATGCAGTTGTTTTTTGCTTGCTGATTTGTTTAAGTTCCCCATTCATTCTGGATATTAGGCATTTGTGGGATGCATAGTTAATGAATATATTCTTCCATTCCATAGGCTGTCTGCTTGCTTTGTTAGTATTTTATTTTGCTGTATAGAAGCTTTTGAGTTTAATTAGGTCCCACTTCTTTATTTTTGCTTTTGTTCCAATTGCTTTTAGGGACTTAGCCAAAAATTCTTTGCCAAGCTGATGTCAAAAGGAGTATTTCCTAGGTTGTGTTTCAGAATTTTTATAGCTTGCGGTCTTATATTTAAATGTTTCATATATTTTGAGTTAATTTTGATATTTGGTGAAAGGTAGGATTCCAGCTTCAATTTTCTGCATATGGCTAGCCAGTCATTCCAGCACCGTTTATTGAATAGGTAGTCCATTTACCATTGCTTGTTTTGATTGGCTTTGTCAAAGATGAGATGGTTGTGGGTGTGCAGTTTTATTTCTGAGTCCTCTATTTTGTTCCATTAGTCTATGTATCTGTTTTTTTGTTTTGTTTGTTTTTTGAGACAGAGTCTTGCCCTGTCACCAGGCTGGAGTGCAGTGGTGTGATCTCAGCTCACAGCACCCTCCACCTCCCAGGTTCAAGCAATTCTCCTACCTTAGCCTCCCGAGTAGCTGGGACTACAGGCGTGCACCACCACTCCAAGCTAATTTTTGTATTTTTAGTAGAGACAGGGTTTCACCATGTTGGCCAGGATGGTCTCGATCTCTTGACCTTGTGATCCACCCACCTCGGCCTCCCAAAGTGCTGGGATTACATGCATGAGCCACAACACCTGGCCCCTATGTGTCTGCTTTTGTGCCCGTACTATGCTGTCTGGGTTACTGTGGCTTTGTAGGATAGTTTGAAGTTCAGTGGTATGATGCCTCTGGCTTTATTCTTCTTGCTTAGGATTGCTTTGCCTAAAGTAAATTTATTTCTGAAAAGTAATTATAACTGGAAGAGTTCACCATGTCTCCTTCTGAATTTTATAAATCTTGTTTACCAAAATATAACACCTATAGGGGATTTGAATGTTCTTATCACTATGAAGAAGCTTAAATATTTTCATAAATGGAATAATGTTTGTATCCATGAAATAATTTATTATGTGCATGGAATAATAAATGTTTATATCCATAAGCAATAAATCATTTTTCAGGTGTGGCAGCCCATGCCTGTAGTCCCAGCTACTTGGGAGGGTGGGGTGGGAGGATCACTTGAGCCCAGGAGTTTGAGTTCAGCCTCAGCAACAAAGCGAGACCCCATCCCTAAATAAATAGACAAATAATCTACTTGACTTAATAAACAATATTTTTAAAATACAGACCTCATAGGCTATACTCTTTGATAACACATAAAATTGCAATGAATTATTAAAATGTGACCCAAAAAGTTCAACTTCAAAAAATCATTCTCCTATTAAACCTTGTTTAATGAGAACAAAATAAAATTATAACAATTAGAAAGTTACTAAAAACATACAGTTTGAAGAAAAAGCTGTAAGATTTAGAGTAGTACTCAAAATAGAATACAAACTTTAAATGTTTTCTTTATTCAAATAAAAGACAAAGATAATAGCCATATTAGTCTGTTTTCATGCTGCTGATAAAGACTTACTCAAGACTGGGAAGAAAAAGAAGTTTAACTGGACTTAAAGGTCCACACAGCTGGGGAGGCCTCAGAATCATGGCAGAGGGTGAAAGGCATTTCTTACATGGTGGCAGCAAGAGAAAATGAGGAAGAATCAAAAGCAGAAACCCCTGATAAAACCATCAGATCTTGTTAGACTTATTCAATATCACAAGAATAGCATGGGAAAACCGGCACCCATGATTCAATTACTTCCCCCTAGGTCCCTCCCACAACATATGGGAATTCTGGGAGATACAATTCTAGTTGAGATTTGGGTGGGGACACAGTGAAACTACATCAATAGCTAACATGTACCACATATTTACTGTGTTAGGTATTGATCTAAGAACTTATAAATATTATTAACTCATCACAAACCTGAAGTAAATACTATTATTATTCCCATTGTACAGATAAAGAAATTGAAGCAGAGATAAGTTGAAAAACCTATCCACTATTACAGAGTTATCAAATGGCAAAACCAGCATTCAAACTCAGGTGGTCCTGCTCTGGAGTCCACATTCGTAAATATTATGCTGCAGTAAATATTAATCTTGAGAACTAGGTGATATGGTTTGGCTGTGTCCCACTCAAATCTCATCTTGAATTGTAGTTCCCATAATCCCCACATATCATGGGAGTAACCTGATGGGAGGAAACTGAATCATAGGGCAGTTATTTCTATGCTGTCCTCATAATAGTGAGTTTTCACTATATCTGCTGGTTTTATAAGGGGCTTTCCCCCCTCCCTTTGCTCTGCATTTCTCTTTCCGGCCATTATGAGAGGAAGGACATGTTTGCTTCCCCTTCTGCCATGATTGTAAGTTTCCTGAGGCCTCTTGAGCCATGCTGAACTGTGAATTAATTAAACCTTTTTTCCTTATATATTACCCAGTCTCTGGTATGTCTTTATTAGCAGCATGGGAATGGACTAATACAGCAAAATGCTACTGCAGAGAGTGGGGCATTGCTGTAGATTCAGGAAATGTGGAAGCAGCTTTGGAACTGGATAAAAAGCAGAAGCTGGAACAGTTTGGAAGGTTCAGAAGACAGAAAAATGTGGAAAAGCTTGGAACTTCCTAGAGACTTGGAGGGCTCCGAAGACAGGAAGATGCTGGAAAGTTTAGAACTTCCTAGAGACTTGTTGAATGGGTTTGACCAAAATGGTGATAGCGATACAAACAATGAAGTCCAGGCTGAGGTGGTCTCAGATGGAGATGAAGAACTTATTGGGAACTGGAGTAAATGTCACTCTTGCTATGTTTTAGCAAAGAGACTGGCAGCATTTTGTCCCTGCCCTAGAGATCTGTGGAACTTTGAACTTGAGAGAGATAATTTAGGGTATCTGGCAGAAGACATTTCTAAGTAGCATAGCACTCAAGAGGAAGCAGAGCAAAAAAGATGCAGCCTGATGATGTGATAGAAAAGAAAACCCCATTTTCTGGGGAGAAATTCAAGCTGACTTCAGAAATTTGCACAAGTAATGAGGAGCCAAATGTTAATCATCAAGAAAATGGGGAAAATATTCTCCAGAGCATGTCAGAGACCTTCATGGCAGCCCCTCCCATCAAAGGCCTGGAGACTTAGGAGGGAACAATGGTTTCCTGGGCCAGGCCCAGGGCCATCCTGCCCTATGCAGCATCAGGACATGGTGCCCTGCCTCCCAGCTGCTTAAGCTCTAGCCATGGCTAAAAAGGGCCAATGTACAGCTCAGGCCGTTGATTCAAAGGGTGCAAGTCTCAAGGCTTACATGTGGTGTTGGACCTGTAGGTGCATAAAAGTAAAAAATTGAGGTTTGAGAGAATGTCCAGCTAGATTTCAGAGGATGTATGGATGCCCACTCAGAAGTTTGCTTCAGGGGTGGGGCCCTCCTGGGGAACCTCTGCGAGGGCAGTGCAGAAGGGAAATGTGGGGTTGGAGCCCCAACACATAGTCTTCAGTGGGGTACTGGCTAGTGGAGCTATGAGAAGATGGCCGCTGTCCTCCAGACCTGAGAATGACAGACCCACCCACATGTTGTACTGTGCATCTGGAAAAGCCACAGATACTCAACACCAGCCCATGAAAGCAGCCTTGGGGTGGGGCGGGGCTATACCCTGCAAAGGGCCTATACTCACAGGGTGGAGCTGCCCAATGCTGTGGGAGCCCACTCATTCGTGTGCCCTGGATGTAAGACATGGAGTCAAAGGAGATCATTTAGAACTTTAAGGTTTAATGACTGCCCTATTTGATTTTGAACTTGCATGCGGCCTGTAGTCCCTTTGTTTTGGCCAGTTTCTCCCATTTCAAATGGGTGTATTTACCCAATGCCTGTACCCCCATTGTATCCAGGATGTAACTAACTTGCTTTTTATTTTACAGGCTCATAGGCAGAAGGAACTTGATTGTTTCAGATGAGACTTTGGACCTGGACTTTTGATTTAATGCTGGGATGAGTTAAGATTTTGGGAGAGCTGCTGGAAGGGTATGATTGTGTTTTTGTTGTGAGGACATGAGATTTCGGAGAGGCAGGGGTGGAATGACATGGTATGGCTGTGTCCCCACCCTAATTGCATCTTGAATTATAGTTACTATAATCCCCACGTGTCGTGGGAGGGGCCTGGTGGGAGGCAATTGAATCATGGGGGTGGTCACCTTCATGCAGTTCTCATGATAGTGAATGACTTCTGATAAGATCTGATGGTTTTATAAGGAGCTTCCCCACCTACCCATTCGTTCTTCTCCTTCCTACCATCATGCAAAGAAGGAAGTGTTTGCTTCCCCTTCTGCCATGATTGTAAGTTTCCTGAGGCCTCCCTAGCCATGTGGAACTGTGAGTCAATTAAACCTCTTATCCAGTCTCAGGTACGTCTTTATTAGCAGCATCAGAATGGACTAATATGCCAGGGGAGGGAAAGTGGAGGTGAATTAGAAACAGAACAAAAGAATCTAGGGGAAGGTAAATAATAAATTTCAAAACTGAAATTCATAAATGAGAAAAAAAATAATAGAAAAGCTCAGCAAAACAAAGGTAGTTTTTTTGGCAAGTATAATGAAATAAATAAACTGTTATAAGCCTGATACACAACCAGATTTTACAAGATCCTACCTGCTCGTCAATTAATTGTATTTCTAGGCATTAATGCTAACTGGAAACTGGACAATCCTGGCAGATATGTGGTCTGTCAGGAGTCTCCATAATTAAAAATTTTGGAAACAATCTAAATACATGTCTAGTGGTTGGGGATGATTAAAATAGTGATGTCATAGCCATACAATGAAACATGTCACATATATCTACAATTATTACAAGGGGAAAATATCCACACATTTTTTGGTAAGTTGACAGGGTACCAATGTCTTGAAAAATATGATTATTTCAGGACCGGGTGCCATGTCTCATGCCTGCAATCCCAGCACTTTGGGAGGCCAAGGGAGGTAGATCACCTGAGGTCAAGAGTTTGAGACCAGCCTGGCCAACATGGTGAAATCCCCGTCTCTACTAAAGCTACAAAAATTAGCCAGGTGTGGTGGGTGCCTATAACCCCAGCTACTTGGGAGGCTGAGGCAGGAGACTTGCTTGAAATGGGGAGGCTGAGGTTACAGTGAGCCAAGATTGCACCACTGCACTCTAGCCTGGGTGACAAGGGCGAGAGATTCTGTCTCAAAAATAATAATAATAATAATAATAATAATAATATGGCCAGGCATAGTGGCTCACTGCCTGTAATCCCAGCACTTTGGGAGGCCGAGGTGGGCAGATCACTAGGTCAGGAGAATGAGACCATCCTGTCTAACACTGTGAAACCCTGTCTCTACTAAAAATACAAAAAATTAGCCGGATGTGGTGGCATGTACCTGTAGTCCCAGCTACTAGGGAGGCTGAGGCAGAAAAATCGCCTGAACCTGGGAAGTGGAGGTTGCAGTGAGCCGAGATCACGCCACTACATTACAACCTGGGTGACAGAGCAAGACTCCATCTCAAAAAATAATAACAATAAATAATAATAATAATAAATATGGTTATTTCATAAATGCTATATACATACAGGAAAATATTTAAAAGTATTTAGATAATATAATTTAGTAATCATTTTTGCTATCTTCTTTTTAATTCATTTTAGGATTTGAAATACCTTTGAGTGTTAATATTACTTTTACAGTACAAAAAACACTTTTTATTTGTGAAATAGAAAATAAGATGAAATCTTGTGCTCACAAATGGGCACAGGGGTCCCAATGTTCAAAGTTATATACTCATCACTCAGTCTCAGGAAACATAAAGAAAAAGCAAAATTTGGATTAAAAATCATTGGATGAGACATTAGGCATAACTTTTTGCTTAATAGCTATTTTAGTTCATTATCTGATTATAACAAATGCAAAACGAAGACAGATGCATTGTTCTTTGCAGAATAACAATTAGGAGCTTTCCAATAATTCAGCTTGGCCTACCAAGCAGAGCTCAGGAAGTAATTTAACTTTTGATGCACTCAGGACTTTCTCCATGAGATAAGTGTTACCATTTTTAAATATTTTATATTAATATATAGGCATATTTTGTAAAAATAAAATTTTTGTTTGATTATATTTTAAACCAATTTATGCTTTCAAGAAGATGCATTGTCAAGATATTCTGATGAGTTTGCATTCATAGAAACAGTTGACTGATGGACAAAGCTAATTAGAATTTACTTATCTCCTGTATACGTTAACTGCATTTCTGCAGTCATTGTGAAGGTAAGAGGCATGGTTTTTGCTTTCCTAATGCCAGGATATCCTTGATTCAAAATGGCCCCTACCTATTTGAAAGTGTATTCTTAAAACATTTCACTGGCCCCTACCTATTTGAAAGTGTACTCTTAAAACATTTCACATTTATCAAATAATATTTAAACTATTTTGACCTATTCTTACTAAATGTGACAACAAAAAATATCTCTGAAAGAATGTAGCAATAATCATAAGATAAAAATCTGGTTATCGTTTTAATGTTAATCCAATTTAAATGTATTGAGGGCCTATAAAATACCTACCTATGCTTGTTCTAAGTGTTGAGAATACAAAAGGGAATAAAATACAGTCCCTCAAACACCCTAATGAAAACCTGAGAAGAACAATAATGTGATAATTATTATAATAAGAAGTTATAATAATTTTTGTAGAAATGTATTTCTAATATAAAATTCAAATAAAGAGAAGTTATTTATTAAGTAAATATATTTAAGCACCTACTATGATTTAGGTCATATTATTTAAGGATCTACTATGACTGAAGTACTGCCAAACAAATAATATAATGCATCTGCTGTCAAAGAAAACCAGTTAGCCTGGCATAGAGTGCAAGTTCAGATTCAGTAGTTGGCTTCTATCAGGCTTGGTGTCCAATAATTTTCAGTGGTGATTTACCTCTTGTAGTCAAATGCTCAGGTTAATTGTTATATCTCACAAATAATTTTATTTTATAAACCCAGAAAATGGCATCTGTCTTTAATATATTTTAAGTAATTCATAAATACATTTTTTAAAAACACAGAAAAAAAATCCATCTTCTTGGTTTTATAAAAATACTTTCTACTCTATATCACATAAGGATTGGTGGAAGTATTTGGAAAATAAGTATAATGTAGTATTCATTAATGTGGGCAGAATGACCTTTCCCCAAGATATCCATTATCTGTGAAAACCTTGTTATATGACAAAGGGGAATCAAGGTGACCAATAGAGAAATTACCCTTGATCCTTCAAATGGGCTAATGTTATCATAGAAGTCCTTAAAAGTAGAAGAAAGAGGCAGAATGTATGTAGGAAAAGGAAATGTGAGGACTATAAGAAAGAAGGGAAGGAAGGAAGGAGGTGAGAGAGAAGAGGACAGGGTGAGTTAGCGTAGATTATAAAAGCTTTTGTTTTAGAATATCCCCATCTTCCACGAAAGATTTATTAAGAAATCATTTTCAGTTCCAGCAGAGTACCTGAAGTATGGCCAGTAAAATGATATATTGGGAAGCTACCCCTCCACCAATCCATTTGGATGAATAATGGCTACAGCAACAGAAAGGCAAAGGATACATGGAGCTGTATAAAGGGGATTCTAAATGTAGAAGAAAATGGAAAGAAAATGTAAGTTTTAAAGTCACTTTTACAAAATAAGAGTACTCCTTCTTTATTTGAATTAGGCCAGTTGCAAGGGTTTAGACACATGTTTTAAGTCAAATTTTTGTCCCAGTTTTATTTATAGCAATACATTCTAAGCTAAGTAAGGTAAAATATTTAGACAGAAGACAGCTTTCTATTTCTTATATTTTTCCTAAACTTAGTTTATATTCTGCATTCCAACTTTTATTCTTTTCTCCTTTTTAAGCACTTTTTGAAGCTGTGCTCACTCTTGCTCTGACTTTATATCATTTTTAGCCCATGCTTAGGGATTGATATCAGCAGTTAACAATCCATCTCATGAATGTCAGAAACATGAGAGTTAGGTTAAAAAAAAATCAGCCTGTTGAAGTTGTTGTCATGTATTTGCCAAAATTTGAATATTACCAGAGAGCAAAGTTTTCTGAACTTTAAGCCTATTGATATTTAGTTATGTCTAACATATTCCCAATTGCTTTGTGATATTATTTGTAAAGCATTTGTAAGGTCATTAAAAAAATATCTCAGTCATAAAAGCACTTTTTGGACTTACATGAAAAAGTTTTTAAGGAAGGAAAACTTTGCAAAATAACACTACCAAGAAATACAAAAGAATATTTTATATATTGCAATACATTCAAATATTGTACTTGATGTCTTTCTTATATATATGTAAATAATTTTAAATTAAAACAAATGGAATATGGAACATTATGGAATGATTATTTGGAAATGATGGTCATGTGTACATTTCTAAGGAAATCTTTATTTTACTTTTACTACCTTATTTGATTGTTGCATATATTGTCCAAAAATAACTGAATTCACAATGATTTATTCTATAAAATTGTTTGGAATCTGATTATAATAATTAAGTGGCATTTAATTAAAACACTCCTTCTAAGTGGGTTTTTGCTGCTTCACATTAACTGGCTCATTTAGATTATCACATATTGTTTCCATTCATGAGATCATGCATAATGGGAATAGTCTTGGCTTCTGAATTTTAATAAGTTCTGTACAGCTGTTCACTGAACACTAAGTAGCTGATGAACAAACATTAGCTAAAGTGGTTTATGAATCAAATACTGAACTACATTTTTGAATTACTCTTTTCTAAATTTTTATCAACTCTAAGCACTAAAGTTAACTGCTTATATTCAACAGTAGTTCAGCTTAAACATATTTAAATTAAAATCTCTTTGAAGACTTGATAATTAATTTTTCATTTCATGACCTTTTTTTCCATTAAATCTCTTTCCACATAGCCTGAAACTCTCCAAATACTCAGTGCATTGTTATTCCAATAAGATAAATGTTTCACAATCTTACTATTTCTTTTTTTTTCTAGTTTTATTATTTATTTATTTATTTTTTATTATTATACTTTAAGTTTTAGGGTACATGTGCACAATGTCAAAAGAAGACATTTATGCAGCCAAAAGACACATGAAAAAATGCTCATCATCACTGGCCATCAGAGAAATGCAAATCAAAACCACAATGAGATACCATCTCACACCAGTTAGAATGGCAATCATCAAAAAGTCAGGAAACAGGTGCTGGAGAGGATGTGGAGAAACAGGAACACTTTTACACTGTTGGTGGGACTGTAAACTAGTTCAACCATTGTGGAAGTCAGTGTGGCGATTCCTCAGGGATCTAGAACTAGAAATACCATTTGACCCAGCCTTCCCATTACTGGGTATATACCCAAAGGAGTATAAATCATGCTGCAATAAAGACACATGCACACGTATGTTTATTGTGGCACTATTCGCAATAGCAAAGACTTGGAACTATTTCTATAATATCATCTATCTCTAAAGTTAGAAAACAATATAGATACACTTTTGACTAATCTGCTACTGATTTCTCTATTATTGTGTATATTCAATATGCAAATAGGTTAACAGCAATAAAATATCTGCTCTATTATTTAGATGACAGAAAACTCCTCCCCTCCCTTCCGCTCCCCTCCCCTCCTCTCCCCTCCCCTCTCCTCTCCTCCCCTCTTTTTTTGAGATGGATTCTTGCTTTGTCGCACAGGCTGGAGTGCAATGGCATGATCTAGGTTCACTGCAACCTCTGCCTCCCAGGTTCAAGTGATTCTCCTGCCTTAGCCTCCCGAGTAGCTGGGATTACAGGCGCTGGCCACCTCGCCCCCCTAAATTTTGTATTTTTAGTAGAGACAGGGTTTCACCAGGTTGGCCAGGCTGGTCTCGAATTCCTGGCCACATCTTACTCTTAATCAAACATCAGTTTCTGCATGACATTTGTAACTGTTGACCAAATATCACTTATCTTTCTTTGTTTAGAGTTTGTCCCAAAATGTAGAATTCCTGCAAGCTAGTCTTGACTCTCTATGTTCCACAACACCAAATTAATCAGCCTATACCTCAATTTTACACCTTAACACAGATGAAAGAGAGGACCAATTAAGTGAAGACCCACCAATGACATCAGAAAGAGAAGCAGATAACAAATAGCCTATCATTTTCTCAATGCCTAGAGCAGAAGATAATTCATCTGCCCATCAAAGCCTTCTTTGGCATAGAGTTAAGAGAAAAAGGAACGGGAAATAGAGAATAATAGCCAGGGCTTCATTAATGGCAAAGTAAAGAAAGAAAAAGAGAGAGAAGGACAATATGAGATTATTTTATAGGGTCAAAATCATGTTTGTAAGCACTCTGACAGCCTCATGGGATCATCTAAAAATAAGGCCATACCCAAATATTCTAGACCTACTAACCAGGAATAGTAGTCTCATCCATGATGTGCTACTATTGCAGAATATGATTAATATAAAGCAACATTGACTTCTCTCTCCATAGGCAGTAGATGTGGAAAATTTGGTTACAGTTTTTCCTTATCTTAGAGCCCATTATTTTATGTATTTTATTTTCCCTTTCTGTATTAAATACAGCTTTACTCACTTTTAAAACCGGGGTTGAACCACAGACAACTTGATGTCAACTTATAACTTGGCTACCTGAGAAAATACCAATAAACAAGAGCAAATATTCATTTTTATTAATAAAAATCTCCAGTACTTAAACAATAAATTAGAATTTTAACACATTTGCTTTTCCTGTAGTAGAAATGTGTATATATTTAGAGTTCAATATAAATCTATGTCAGTACATTCTAATTCACCAAATTTGGCCTAGAAGTGAAAGGAATAGTATATTTCTTTTCACTTAAGTTAGCAACTTCAGAAAAATTCTGAACAACAAAGTTTGAAAAATGTTTTCATCAATGGACACTTTTATACAAACACATGTTCAAACATACATACACTAAATAACTCAGACATAAGTTAGCAAACCAGAGTTTTTACTAAGTCATGATAATTTAAAAATAGATTCTTATTCTATTACCTTATCTATAAACAAATCAATTAGAATGTGTGTATGTGATGGATAAATAAATGTACAGGCCAAAAATGTCTTTGAGACTAGAGATTTGGCCTGACAATTGGAAGAAACAGAGTTTTTGTTTACTAAAATTTATAATCATGCAAAAGAAACAACTTTGAGCAAATTTGGTTGTCATGGTGGTTGCTAGATATGAGGAATCAGGAATTCAGTTCATATAAGATATTTCCTTTGCACATTCAAATGGAGATATGGAAGATGTTTTAATATAGATCTGAAATTCAGATAAAAGGTCCAAATTGGTAGTATACGTTTTAGATTCCACCTATGCCAGAGTGCAGTGGCATGATCTCAGCTCACCACAACCTCCACCTGCCGGGTTCAAGCGATTCTCCTGTCTCAGCCTCCTCAGTAGCTGGGACTGCAAGCACACCACTACACCTGGCTAATTTTTTGTATCTTTTTAGTAGAGACGGGGTTTCACCATGTTGGCCAGGCTGGTCTCAGACTCCTGACCTCAGGTGATCCACCCATTTCAGCCTCCCAAAATGCTGGGATTACAGGCGTAAGCCACCGTGCCCAGCTGCATTCTGACCTTTTAAAACTAAAGAAGAGGAAAAAGAAGGATTTAAGGAGATTGCCATGGATTGCTCTTTTGTTGGAAGGAAAACATAACCCTGTGGCAGGATTATATCTCAAAGTATTAATGTGTTTTTTGTATACATTCTTTCTCTTCAGCTCTCTCACTTTTATTCCAAGGGACAATTCATGTTCCCAACTCAGACTGAAGTAAAAAAATGGTAAAAATAGTTTGCAATGAGAGACAAAGATTCTATCTATAGATGTATAATTGTAAGGTTTAATTTTCATCTTTGTAAAACTAGGTAAGATAGTACCTGGGAAGTAAAAGAAAGAGAGCCTTTTCACACAGAATGCTCAAAAACAAAGTGAAAGAGATAGTCAGAATAGTTATTGAGGACACCGAAAGGCCTGTCCCTTCCTACTTCAATATCACTGAATGCGGGGGTTGGGTCAAGACGGCAGACTAGAAGAAAGCTCATGTGTGCTGCTCTCAGGGAGAGGAAACAAAAAGGCTAGTGAACACTGACTGTGAATGACAATCATCTGAGAAACAAGGTCAGGATAAATCAAAGCAGGAGGGAGACACTGAGAGCACAGAGGAGTGAAGCTGGGCACCAGCCTGACTGTGATCAGCGCAGTGCCAGGAGTATGTCTCCAACCTGGGAAAGGGTAAGTGACTCACAGCCCCCTGGGTGATTCATACTCTAAACAGGTACCTGTGCAAGACTGGAAATGGGTGAATACCCCTGGCCCTCCCATACCTCCAACCTCACTTCTAGAATGAGGCAGAGAGCCCCTCAAACATTTTGCAGAGGCAAATCCCCTCAAGTCCAAGGTGACTTCTATAAGTCTTGGCCCCTGGAGCAGACCAACACCAGCACCATACCCCCAACAGAGTCTGCAGTTGCAGTGCCTGGGGGCAGTAAGATTTTCCCCTCCCTGGAAAAGGCTCAATGTGGCTTCTGGTCTAGCAGGACAACTTCTCTCTGAACTCAGCCAGTGGCCACAGCCCCCTGCTGTCTGGGGAAGGAAAGTACCCAAACAGCAGGATGGGCAACCCCACCCACCCCCACCACTAGTAACCATTGAGCTTCTTGTCATTCTGGGAAGCATCCAGATGGCAGAGCAGACAACTCAACCTAACCCCACCACTGGTAGCTTCCAGCCAAATGAGCCAATTTTGCCTGAATTTGCAAAGGGTGCTGTATTAGTCAGGGTTCTCTAAAGGGACAGAACTACTAGGATAGATGAATATATGAAGGGGAGTTTATTAGGAGAATTGATTCACACAGTCACAAGGTGAAGTCCCACAACAGGCCATCTGCAAGCTGAGGAGCCAGGAAGCCAGTCCAAGTCCCAAAACCTCAAAAGTAGAAAAGCGGATAGTGTAGCCTTCACTCTGCAGCCAAAGGCCTGAAAGTCCCTGGTGAATCACTGGTATAAGTCCAAGAGTCCAAAAGCTGAAGTACTTGGAGTCTGATGTTTAAGGGCAGAAAGCATCCAGCCAGGGAGAAATGTGGAGGCCGGAAGACTCAAACAGTCTAGTCTTTCCACATTCCTCTGCCTGCTTTTATCCTAGCCACGCTGGCAGCTGATTAGATGGTGCCCATCCAGATTGAGGGTGGGTCTGCCTTTCCCCATCTACTGACTCAAATGTTCATTTCCTTTGGCAACACTTTCATATACATACTCAGGAACAATATCCAATCAAGTTGACACTCAATATTAACCAATACAGGTATAGCCTCCTCTTGCCCTGGAAACACATAGATGGCAGGGTGGGCTACTCTAGCTATCCTTGCCACCTGTAGCCAAATGGTCCACACATGCTAGATCTTCAAACTCAGTGGTCTCACTTCTGCTGGAACTCTGTGAGCAGGCACAACTCTGTTTTCTCCTGGGAAGCACTGGGAGAGCAGATTTGGGCTGACACAGTAAGAATACAGCCTGGTTGCCAACTGTGGTCCCTGCATGAAGGAGCCCCATGCACCAGAACACCCAACCAAAGAGGGACTCCTTCAAGACCCAGAAGCAGAATAGAATTCAAGCCAGTCAACTGAACCTACCTTAAACCACAATCAAGCCCACAAGGGCATCTAAGAAGATAAAAGCAAAAACAAACAAACAAACAAACAAACAAACAAACAAAAAACACCTATTCAAAAACAGCAATTTGAAAGACTGAAGGAACATCAGCCCATACAGAAAAGAAAGAACGAGCACAAGAACTCTGGCAACTCAAAAAGCCAGAGTGTCTTCTGACCTCTGGAAGATCATATTAGTTCTCTAGCAATGGTTCTAAACTAGGCTAAAATGGCTGAAATGTCAGAAATAGAATTCAGACTATGAATAAGAATGAAGATCATCAACCATCAAGAGAAACTCAAAATCCAACCCAAGGAATCTAAGGAATACAATGAAATGATATAGGAGATAAGAAACAAAATGGCCATTTTAAGAAAGTACCAAACTGATCCAATAGAGGTGAGAAACTCACTTCAAGAATTTCCTAATACAATCAGAATTATTACCAGTTGAATCGACCAAACTGAGGAAAGAATCTCAAAGCTTGAAGACCAGTTCTCCAAACTAACTCAGACAAAAATAAAGAAAAAAACAATAAAGAAGAATGAAAAAACTCTGAGAAATATGAGATTACATAAAGAGATCAAATCTGTGATTTACTGACATCCCTGAAAGAAGAGAGAAAGCAAGCAAGTTGGAGGACATATTTGAGGTTACCATCCATGAAAATTTCCCCAACCTCACTATAGAGGCAAACATTCAAATTTAGGAAATGCAGGGAACCCCTGCAAGATACTATACAAGATAACCATCCCCAAGACACACAGTTATCAGATTCTTCTAGGTTGAAATGAAAGTAAAAGTGTAAGTGAAAGAAAAAAGGCAGCTAGAGAGAAGAGGCAGGTCACCTACAAAGGGAACCTCAACAGGGTAACAGTGGATCTTTCAGGAGAAACTTTATAAACAGAAGAAATTGAGGACCTATATTCAGCATTCTTAAAGCAAAGAAATTCCAACCAAGAATATCATATCTAGCCAAACCACGCTTCATAAATGAAGGAGAAATAAGATCCTTTTCAGATAAGCAAATGCTAAGGGAATTTGTTAATACCACCCAAGAGGTCCTTAAGGGAGTGCTAAATATGGAAAGGAAAGAGCATTACTGGCCACCACAAAAACAGACTTAAGTACATAAGCCATTGACAGTATAAAGAAACCACAAAATCAAATCTGCATAATAACCAGCTAACAACATGTTGACAGGATCAAATCTACACAAATCAATATTAACCTTGAATGTAAACAGGCTACATGCTCCAATTTAAAGGCACAGTATGGCAAGTTGGATAAAGAAGGAAGACCCAACTGTATGCTGCATAAAAAAGACCCATCTTACATGTAATGACAACTTCAAGCTCAAAGTAAAGAGATGGAGAAAAATCTACCAAGCAAATGAATAAGAGAAAAATGCAGGAGTTGCTATCCTAATTTCAGACAAAACAGACTTTAAACCAACAAAGATCAAAAAAAACAAAGAATATCATTATATAATGTCAAAGGTTCCAACTCAACAAGAAAACCTAACTATCCAAAATATATATGCACTTAATCCAGGGGCACCCATGTTCATAAAGCAAGTTCTAAGAGACCTACAAAGAGACTTAGATAATGACACAATAATGGTGGGACACTTCAACCCCCTACTGACAGTACTGGACAGATCATCATGGCAGAAAACTAACTAAAATATATGAGACCTAAATGCAACATTTGACCAAATGGGCCTAACAGACATCTACAGAACTTTCTACCTTAAAATTACAGAACATACATTCTTCTCATCGGCACATGGCACATAATCTAAAATTGACCACACAATGAGCAACAAAATAATCCTCAGGAAATTCATAAAAGCCAAAATCATACTAAACACATTCTCAGACCACAGCACCTTAAAGATAGAAATCAATAATAAGAAAATTGTTCAAAACCATACTTTACATGGAAATTAAGCAACCTGCTCCTGAATGACTTTTGGGTAAACAATGAAATTAAGGCAGAAATCAAGAAATTCTTTCAAGCTAATGAGAACAAAGATATACAACTTACCAGAATATGTGGGACACAGCTACAGCTGTGTCAAAAGGGTAGTTTACAGCACTAAACACCTACATCAAAAAGTTAGAAAGATTGCAAATTAACAATCTAATATCACACCCAGGGGAACTAGAGAAACAACAGCAAACCAACCTCAAAGGTAGTAAGAAAATAAGAAATAGCCAAAATCAGAGTTGAACTGGAGGAAATTGAGAAGTGAAAAACCATACAAAAGATCAATGGATTGTGTGGTTGAGTCTTTGAAAAAGAATAAATAAGATTCATAGAATGCTAGCTAGCTAGAAGAATAAATTAAAAAATAGAGAAGATCCAAATAAACACAATCAGAAATGACAAAAGGGACATTACCATGAGCCACACAGAAAAACCAAAACAACAATAACAACAACAAAACCCCTCAGAAACTACTGCAAACACCTCTATGCACACAAATTAGAAAACCTGGAAGAAATGATTCAATTACTGGGAAAATACAATCTCCCAAGATTGAACCAGGAAAAAATTGAATCCAAGAAAAGACCAACAATGAGCTCCAAAGTGAATCACTAATAAAAAGCCTACCAACCAGAAAAATCCCAGGACCAAACAGATTATTAGCCAAATTTTATCAGATGTAAAGAAATAAAACAGCTGGTACTACTTTTACTGAAACTATTCTGAAAAATTAAGGAGGAGGGACTTCCTAACCCATTCTATGAGGTCAGTTCATTTGTGGACCAATTCTTTCATTCACCGGGTATTATGTATTTATTTTATGTTATTATTATCATCAAACCTTTGTCCTTCAAAATGTTTTTTTTAAAAAGTAGAAAATGAATTTGCCACCTTGAATCCATGCAGTTCTGCTAAACTTTGGATAGAAAAGATTACACACCCCTTTATATTTGAAGAACTGGAAAGGTGATCAGAAGTATGCAATAATTTAATAGAAAAAAAGAGTTTCTTCCTAAACAATATTGATACATAAGAAATAAATAACCACAATCTACACTACTGACAAATGAGAGTAAAGTAAAACTTCCAGTTTTCTAACAATTTGTGTTTGTGCACTCCATGCCAAGCACTGCTTAGTCACTAAATTAAGTGGCTATATAAAGTTCCTTTAGAATCATTTTAAAACCAATACTTATCACTAATGAGAGACATTAGAATTATCATTATCAAAATTAATATAATAATCTAACCAAATACCATATTATCCAATTAAATAATTTTATGCATTTCATCAATTCAACTCTGCAATTAAAAGCATAAGAATAGAGTATAATTATTATTTCCTAGGAAAAAGTAGTTGTGGCTGTGACTATAGTCTTTTAGAAAAAAAAAGTGGATCTTCTATTTACCCTTTGATTGTATGTGTTTTTTACTGGTTTTATGAAATATTCTCAATTTTTTATAAGGTACATGTTGAAAGCTGCTTTCATGCCACCTCATAAAACACATAAGAATTAATTTCTGTTATCAAAATATCACAATTCATGCATGTAAGCAATTTGTTATATATTATCTGAGATGAAAATTCAATCATAAAATCATATATGTTGTTACAGCTTATACTTTGGAGGGAGGAACAGGAGTGGTTAAGAGATGAAAGGAGGCAAACCTATTAGTGACGAAACCAGAAACCAGATATTGGTCTAACCAGGATTGTGCAACTCATTTCCTGCCACCTTGCTTGTGTAATCTGGCTGGCAAAGCCACAGCAATTTCTTACTCTCCCAGGATGGCCTGTTAAAAGGACAAATAGTGCACACAGCCTCTTTGAAGGCTCCCCTAAAATTGAATGAATTGAATTGAACTATGCTAATTATATAGACTTGGGGCCAGCTAGGAAACACACTTCATTTTACTTTTTCTCCCTCTTGCCTTGTCTTATTCATCTTTTTCCTTATTCTTCATTTCTGGAGGTGCGTATGCAGATAAGATGTTTATACAGAGGCTGTCACCAAACTGTGTTTTCTAGGGATTCCTGGTTAGCTCAGGTTTCCAGTTAAATATATATATATTTTTATTTATTTTTTTAATGAACCCAGGAGAGGGATCCGGAAATTCAACAGGTACTTTAAGTCACTGTTATACAAAAGTCAGAGCAGGGTTAAAGAAAAAAAAAAAAAAAGTAATACAGTCTTTGGAACAACACAGATAACACAATGTTTGAAATCACATCAAAATGACTGTGCAAAACACACTTTTGCTCTCCTCAGTACTACTACTCTGTTTTAGCTTTGTTCCTACTTACTCTATTATTAGATGGCTTTTATAGCTACAACAGCTTTCTAGCTAAATTTATAATAGTTTAATGCTTGGCACTGAAAGTGCAGTCTGTGAGCAGCATCACTGATATCACCTGCGATCTTGTTAGAAATGCAGAATTTCTGGTCCCTCTTCAGACCTGCTGAATTTGCTCTGCATTTTATCAAGACCGCCAGATGATTTCCATATATAATGAAGTAAAAAAAACCACTATTTTAGATAAAGGTGGTTAACTTTGAGATGTGCACAAAGATAAAATTAAATCTGTTAAATAGTCCCTTGGTAAATAAATCCTGATTATTATCTCTAAGGAGCAAACTGCACGGTTGAGAAAGGAAAAGAAGGGGTTGGGAGGGGAAAGAAACTAACAAACACTGAAGATTTACACTAGGTCATGTAATTTACATGAAGGGTTTACTACTGTTATCACATTTAATGTTATCACCAAAAAAAATAAAAAATAAAAAAACCCATGGAGCAGTATGACAACCCTCATTTCACTGATGAGTAAACTGAGGTTAAAAAACATATCAGTGATCATAAGCCTAATGAATTTTGGCCAAGTATTTCTTTCCCCTAGAATTATGCACTTTCTACTAATAAGTTTATGGCATTTGAGTTATAAATAGTTCATGAGAAATCTGACTATAATAATTAAATATATGTGGCACAGATTTTAACTTACAAGAATGATTAGAAGATAGTACCATCATTCTGTATTGGCCTAATGAAAAGAAAAAGACTCATGGAGGGTTGAACTAGCAAGTTGTGGAAGATTTGAATGATGAAAAAAGAAAGGTAAAAACATGAATATTAGCTCTATGTGTAGTACTGTGCTAACATTTTTACATTCTTTATCTGAATCTTATACTAACCCCATTTAATTGCAAAATGTTTTCCAATTTAGAGATGAAAAATCAGAGATTAAAAAATTCTAAAAAAAAAAGACCAAATTCATAGTACAAAGCTATCTTATTCTCACCATACCACTGAAGGTTAAAACAGATGTTTGTTATAAGGTCAGAGGAGGGACTCAATTTTTAGCTTTATTTTAGACTGTCATAATTTTCAAAGATAATCTGAAACAACATTTATTAGTTTTATTGATATTACATCAAGGCATTTGCTTTAAAAAAAAGTCAATTTTCTGATAAATTTCAGTGTCCTACTTACTCATGTCTTCATTGAATTATAACTGATACGTCTAAATATTTTATTTCCCTTTCAATAATCTTTTTGTCCTTTCAGCGATAGGAAAAAGAAATAAAAACACCAAAAGACCAAAAATTCAACCTTGCAAAATAATACGTAACTTATCCCCTAAGTGTAAAACTATAAAACCACAAGCTTCATAATACAGGAAAAATATGAATATCTAAATCCTCCTCAGGGGTATATCAACATTACTATAATGTTGAATTTTTTTCCATTATGTCAAAGGGTATCACACTGGTCTTTAGTAGAGAATCATTTTCTAGCTGTTTAAAAATACCAAGCAACTAGTAATCCAATAAAACACAAATCAGCAGGTCTACTTGATGTCACATATAACTCCAAGAGAGACCATTTCAATGAGTCTACAAGCTACATCTCTAAGTAATATGAATGTTTCATTGTATTATTCAGTACTTTGCAGAGGCTCATTAAATGTTTACTGAAAGGAATTTAATTGGGAATAAAGCCAGAAGTCTGTTGATAAATGTGAATCTGTAGATGCTATATGAAGTTCTACATAATTAATCTGTACTCTGCACTCTCCTTCATTTTTATAGCACCAAAAATGAAACTATTGATATATGCTACCTTTGAGAAGTAGTATAAAGGATGCCTAAAAAAGAAGTTAAAAGGATGGTGATGGTAATATATATAATCTTTTCATTAAATTTTAATACATAGCTCTTATAAACAGAATATAATGCTTTTATATTCATAGAGAGAGATTATATTTTTATAATATCTAGTTCAGGTTCTCAGGTATATGCTTATTCATATGTTTGTTTGCTAATTAATTTATATATTCACTCATTCATGCATTTACTTAAAATCTCTAATGTTGATTTTCTTTGATGAAAATGCAGAATATAGTACTTGTCTCACAGTGTTTTTTTAAATATTCAATGAGATAATCAATAATAGGTATCTATACACTATCTTACAAATGTGATATACTACTATTATTACTAAATTAAATACTTTTATTAAAATATAGTCTGAGCAAGACTCTGTGATGAAGAAAACAGTGAATAAAACATGTTACCAACTCTTCCATTATTTACATCCAGGTAAGAAAATTAAGAAATATATCCACAAAATATAAACAAAGACTGTGATGATAAATTCCAGAGAAAAGTTCTATGAAAGGGCAGATATTTCTGAAGACAGAAGTCCTTCGTTCCACAGAATACATGACAGGTGCTTTAAAATTTTCTTTGGTCAGCTTTGTCACTGGCTCATAAGGCAGCCCATTCTATTTTTGAAGTTTAAATATTAGAAATCATGTTATTCCATGTGAAAACTGACTTCAGTACTTTTCAAAATATTTTCTATTATATTCCTAATCCTTATCAGGTGAATTTTGAGCAAACACAAATCAAGTGGGGGAAAATGTAAAAGAATTTTCTTCAGTACTTTTTTTTTAACACAAAAGTAAATAGTAAGTGAACTATTGTATACAGAATGTTGTTGTTTTATTTCTGCTGACTTCAAAATAAAATAGCATAGCCAAAAGGATAAATAACAGGCTGACCTGGCCACATCTTCCCAATACATTATTAAACTGCACTATATTTCCTTTGGGAATAAATTACCCTGCTACTTCCTGTACATTTTTTATATCAATAGAGGTCTGAATTTCACTTGAGCCACAGGAAAGAGCTGAAATAAAATTTGACAAAGCTGGATTCAACTAATGAGAGGTAAGGGAGCTTAGAGTTTTGCCATGAACTCTGGCTTTCATTATAGCATTTTGGGAAGTGGAATGTCTCAAGGAGAGGGATTAAATGGCATGGGAGAGGGTGAACATGATTGGATTTCACATTTGAAGAGATATATTAAAAATATGCTGTCAAAATCTGACATCTGCCTTCAGTTTTTCAGTTATAGGCAATATTGTTTCCCAAATAAGGCTATTTTAAAGGTATTTATTCACTTTATTTTTTCAATTTGAGCAAAATAATTGAGCTTGCCATTGACATTATTTGTTAATAGAAACAAGAGACATGAATGTGATATTTGCCTTAGAATACACATTTTCATATTCTGCTGTTGTGATGTCACATTTTACCTGTCTACATTTGGTGTTGCTTATTACTGCAGGCAGCAAGAGACGTGCACATGTCAAACTGCCTCTAGCTAGCAAATACATTTCTGGGAGACATAATGTTTTAAACAAGAAACACAGGCACATGTCTATAAGCCTGTCAACAACAAATAAGGTATTCATATTTTACCTCTGGCATGAGAAGTTGAAAGGGAAGTCTTTACTATTAGCATTCCTCTGCATATATTAAACATAATAATTATTAATAAAGCAGTTATTACTATTATGAAAACAACATTAACAAAGACCTGAGTTAAATGCAAGTTGTCAATAGAATTAAATGTAAATTTTCATCTCCATTTTTGGTCAATGAGTGTTTTAGTACATATATTACATGTAGTTAATATGTATTTTTTTATTATAGGAGTATATTGTTATGAGAAAATGATTCACAATCTCAGAAAATTTTACTTGTTGCATTTCCTTAATCACAGGTTATGCTTCTGAAAGTCAAACCTAAAAAAGAAAATGAGAATTAAGACAAAAAACTATCAAAGATTATTTTTTCACAGTAAGACTTAAACCTAACAATAACATTTTAATTACATGCAAAATACAAATTTATTTAAAACTTTTAATAAACAATGAGTTTATTGTGAAGTGTGAATAACAGTTGCCTTATCTTACAGTTACTTTATCTAATCTGAGTTTTTGTACGGAATAAGATAATTATCCAATTTCATTATCTTGCATGTGGATATACAGTTTTGCAAATACCATTTGTTGAAAATGTTATCTTTTCCCTATTGTTTCCTTAGTGTCTTTTTTGAAGATCAGTTGACTGTCTATGTGTGGATTGATTTATCATCTCTCTACTCTGTTCCATTAGTCTATACGTTTGTTTTCATGTCAGTCCATACTATTTTGATTACTATGACTTTATAACATATTTCAAATCCAGGAAATATGATGCCTTTACCTTTTTTCTTCTTTCTCTAAATTACTTTTACTATTTTGGTCTTCTGTGATTCCATATAAGTTTTAGAATTTTTTCTACTTCTGCAATTTTGATAGGAATTGCATTGAATCTGTAGATCATTTGGGTAGTACGTACATTTGAACAATATTAAGTCTTCCAATCTATGAACATGAAATGTCTTTCCACGTGTTTGTGTCTTAGTTTTTCTCCTTAATTATTTTCAGTTTTCAGTATACAAGTATACCTCCTTAGTTGTTTACTTTTAAGTATTTTATTCTTTTTGGTGCTATTACAAATGCTATAGTTTTTCTAATTCTCTTTTCAAATACTTCTTTGTTGGTGTATAGAAATACAATTGATTTTGCATCTTGCAACATTACTGAATTTGTATTAGTCCTAACAGTTTTTTATGTAGTCTGTAAGCTATTCTACATATTAGATCATGCCATTTGAAAATAAGAACAATAATTCTTCTTTCATTCTAATTTGGAAGCATTTTTTTTACCCTTCCCTGAGTATTCTGGCTGCGACTTCAAGTACAATGTTAAGGGACAAGAGTGGACATCATTACTTTGTTCCCATTGTAGAAAAAAAACTTTCAGCATTTTACTATTCAGTATGATGTTAGCTCTGGTATTGTTATATATACATCCCTTATGTTAAGGTACATTCCATCTGTTGCTAGATTGTTGAATTATGTCAAATCCTTTATCTTCATCATTAAGATAATCATGTGATTTTAAACCTTTATTCTGTTAATGTGGCTTATCACATTGATTTTCCTATGTTTAATCATCCATGCATCCCATTAGTCATGGGGTATAATTGATACTGTCAATGTGCTGTTAGATTTCGTTGAAGTATTTTGTTGAAGTTTTTTTAGATCCATATTCATCACGGATGTTGTCCTATGGTTTTCTTTTCTTGTAGTGTCTTTCTGGCTTTGTTATCAAGGTAATTCAGGCCTTACAAAATGAGTTTGGAAAGGTTTTATTCTCTTAAATTTTTTGGAAGATAGTGAGAAGGGATGTCATTAATTCTTCCTTAAGTCCTTGGTAGTATTTACCAGTGAATATATTTAGTTCTGGCTTTTGTTTTGGGAAGTTTTTGATTACTGATTCAATTAACATATTAGCTGTAGGCAAGACTTTTTATTTCTTCATGATTTACTCTTGGTAGATTGTATATATCTAGGAAGTCATCCATTTCATCAAGGTTACTTAGATTGTTCGCAAATACTTGTTTATAGCAGTGGCTTATGATCCTTTTTAATTCTATGGTATCAGTTTAATGCCTCCTCTTTCTTTTCTGATTTTCTTTATGAATCACCTCTGTTGTTCCTAATCTAGCAAAGGCTTTGTCAGTTTGATCACTGAAAAAAACCAACTCTTAAATTTCGTTGATTTTTTTCTATTGTATTTTATTTTCTATTTCATTTATTTATTTCTTTCCTTCTACTAATTTGGGCTCAGTTCATTTTCCTTTTTGTGTTTTCTTGAGGTATAAAGTTTGGTAGTTTGAGGGTTTTGTTTTGTTTTGAGACAGAGTCTCGCTCTGTCATCCAGGCTGGAATGCAGTGGCGCAATCTTGGCTCACTGCAACCTCCGCCTCCCAGGTTCAAGCGATTCTCCTGCCTCAGTCTCCTGAGTAGCTGGGATTACAGGCGCCCACCACCACGCCCAGCTAATTTTTTGTATTTTTAGTAGAGATGAGGTTTCACCATGTTGGTCAGGATGGTCTCGAACTCCTGACCTCAGGTGATCCACCCGCCTCGGCCTCCCAAACTACTGGGATTACAGGTGTGAGCCACCGCGACCGGCTGAGATTTTTTTTTTTAAATGTAGTGTTTATTTCTATGAACCTCTCTCTTAGTCTTGCTTTTGCTGCATCCAATAAATATTATAATGTCATGTTTGTCTATTTGTCTCAAGATATTTTATAATTTCTCTTTAAACTTGATCTTTGACGTCATAGTGGTTTAAGAGTGTGTTATTATTATCCATATATTTGTGATTTTTCCAGTTGTCTGTTAACTATTGATTTGTAGTTTTATTCCATTATAACCAGAAAAGATCATCTTATTCTTTTAAGACTTGGTTTGTGACCTAACCTATGATCTATCGTGGAGGTAGATCCATGTGTGTTTGAGAAAAATGTGAATTCTGCCACTGTTTAACACAATATTTTGTACATGACTATTAGGTTCAGTTGGTCTAGAGTGTTATTTAAATCCTCTATTTCCTTACTGATCTCCTATCTTTATGTTCTGTACATTATTGAAAATAGGGGAATGAAATCTCCTACTATTATTGCATTACTATGTTTTTTTCCTTCAAATCTTTCAACATTTGTTTTATATATTTAAGGACTCTCATGTTGAATGCACATATATCTACAACCATTATCTCTTTCTGGTTGATTGAATAGTTTGTTATCATAAAATATCTGTCCTTTTATTTTGTGGCAGTTTTTGACTAAAAGTCTATTTGTCTAATATTTAAGTATAGCTACTGCTCTTTTCTGGTTACCATTTGCATGGAATATCTTTTAACTTCACTTCACTTTCAGCCTATGTTTGTACTTAAATCTAAAGTGAATTTCTAGTAAACAGCATATTTTTCAGTCTTGAAAATTTATTCAGCTACCCCATATTTTTTATTAGGAAGATTTAATCCATTTACATTTACATTATATTATTATTTGCAAAAGATTTAGTATTGCCATTTTTAGTGGCATCAGGTTAGTCTTGCAGTTCTTCTGTCTTTTCCTCTCTCGATGTCTTTCTTTATATTGTTTTGATTATTTTTCTATTAATATGCTTTCACGTATCCCTCTTTTTCATTTATGAAATTTTATGGGTATTTTATTGTGGTTTTCTTGGGACTTACATAAAATATCTTACAGTTACAATAGCTTATTTAAGCTGATAATAACTTAAGTTCAATCACATGCAAAATACTTTAATTTCTCTTCCCAACACACAGATTTTATGTTATTTTTGTCAAAATTTATATCTATTCATATTGTGAAAATTTAACATATTCCTAATACTTTTAACTTTTATATCATAAAGTGACTTAGCCACCATCATTACAGTAATAGTGTGGCTCTTTAGGGTCTTTTGTTTCAACCTGAAGAACTCTCTTTAGTATTTCTTACACATAGGTCCCGTAGAGATATAGCCTTTTGCTTGAGAAAATATCTCACTTTCATTTTTGAAGAAGAGTTTTGCTAGTGGTAGTATTCTTGGTTGGCTTTTATTTTCTTTCAGCACTTTGAATCTATCATCCCACTCCCTTCTGGTCTGCAAGACTATGGTGAAAACAAACCACTGATGGTCTTACGAAAGTTGCCTTGTGTGTTACAAATCACTTTTTACCTGTTGTTTTCAAAATTATTTGTCTTTGAATTTTGATGATTTGATTATAATATGCCTGGGTGTGTATTTGGAGAGATATAGCGTATGTGGTGTCCTTTGTGCTTCTTGAATCTGTATGTCCATTTTCTTACCCAGGTTTGGGAAGCTTTTAGCTATTATTTCTTTGAATAAGCTTTCTACTACCTTCTTTTTCTTTACATTTTCTGGGACCCTTATATGCATATATGAGTATGCTTGATGGTGTCCCATAATTCTCATAAAGTTTCTTCACTCTGTTTTATAATTTTCTTTGTCTTTTTGCTCCTCTCACTCAATTATCTCTAGTCAACAGACTTTGGGTCTGTGATCCTTTCTTATACTTTAGTCTGCTATTCAACACTCTAGCGAATTTTTAAATTCAGTTATTACGTCCTTCAGCCTCACAATTTCTAATCGGTACTTCTTAATGTTTTCTATTTCTTTGTTAAAATGCTCTGATTATTCATGCATTATTCTCTTTACCTGGGTGAGCATCTTTATAAGAGTTATTTTAATTCTGTGTCAGATGAATCATACAACTCCATTTATTAAGGCCACTTCTGAATTTTGTTTCATTTATTGAAATATCTTTGCCAGATTCTTCATTTTCCTTGACTCTTTGTGTTTGAGTCTCTGCATTGGAAAAATCACGTACCTCTTCCATTCTTCACATCTTGGCCTTGTACAGGAAAAAAATCTGTACAAATCAGTCCAGTCAGAGATTCTGGGGCCTCTTCCAACTCTTTCTCAATCTAGAGAAAGTCAGGTAGCTGTGTTTTTGTCTACTCACTCTGTACTGAGCCAGGAGATGGCAAATGGGGGAACTATGCAATCCACCAACCCCAGTTGCCACTTTCTCCCACAGCTTGCAAAATAATGCCTGACTCATCAGAGCACCAGGATTGGTGAGACAGGTGCTAGATTGTTAAACATCTTTAGAGAATCTGGGGTACTGGAAGCATGGATCAACTATTTCTCTTTCCAGGGGCAAGCTGAAAGCCAAAATTTTTCATTGGCTCATTTTATACCAAGCAGTGAATAAAGTCTCTGGCATCCATCAGCCCAAGATGCTGCCTTTATTTTCTCATGGATGGATAGACTATGCCAGACCCATCAAAGGTTAAAGAATGACTAGTCTGTAGTCATTTTTCTGGAGGAGGACCCTCAAAAAGTATGGGTGTTGGACATGTGAACCAACCCTATCTTTCCCCTGGGTAAATCTGGGATCTAGTGGGGGTGCTTCTTGATTATACAGTACTAGGCCAAGTACAGGATCTCTGACAAGAAGGTGCCTTAAAATATCCTGTCTGCTTCCATGATTCCAATTTTTCATTCTCCCAGGATGCAAGGGCCTTTTTAATTAGGTTCTGATTTTAAAAAAATAAAATGTGTCCATGAAATGCCATTGAATCAATCTGTGTGTTTTGCAGATTTGTAATGGGAAGGGGGATATAGGACTTCCTTCTCCTCCATCTTGCTTATGTCACTCTCTCAGCTAACATCTTATTTAATGGTGAAAGACTAAATTTGTTCCAGCACAAATTAGTAAAAATACAAGAAATGTCTGTACAACATTGTATTTGAACTCACATCCAGTGCAATAAGAGAAAGAATAAATGAAGTATTAAGATTAAAATGGAAGAGATAAAACTGTCTCTATATATGGAAAACACAACCATCTATGTAGAAAATCTAATGGACTCTTTTTTAAAAAAGTATTCTACTACAACTAACAGCTTAATAAGGTACCAACATAAGAGATCAACAAAATGTTAACTACATGTTTACACACTAACACATTTCAGTCAGATAATACAATTTAAAAACATTACTATTTAATGTAGTGACATAAATATGAAATACAAAGATATAAAAAAGACAAAAACTGAAAGACCCATAGAGTAAAAACTACACAATATTGTTCAGAAAATTTAATGCTGCTATGTTTTGAAAGTATGTCTCCTCCAAAAATCATGCCCAAACTTAATCCCCATTCTGGTAGTATAAAAAGGTGGGCGTTTGGGGAAGTAAATAAGTCATGAGGACTCTAATCAATGGATTTGTGCCTTATAAAAAGATTGGAGAGAAGCACTTAAATTATTTTTCTCTCCAGCCTTCAGTTATGTGAGGACACACTATTCATACCCTCCGGAGGATGCAGGAACAAGACGCCATCTTGAAAACAGAAAGTGGGGCCCTCAACAAACACTGAACCTGGAGGAATCTTGATCATGAACTTCTCAATCTCCAGAACTATATTTTTGTTCTGGGAGAAATATATTTATGTTCTTTATAAATTAGTCTGTAGTATTTTGTTATGTCAGCAGAAACAGACTAAGACAACCTTATAGAGAGATACAGTTGGCTTAAAGGTCAGAATATTGAATATTTTTAAGATGTCAATTTTCTTCAAATTGATCTATAGATTTAACGCAATTCCAATCTAAAATGCAGCAGGCATCACTTTGTAGAAAGTTAAAACTATTCCTAAAATGCATATCAAAATACAAAGTATAATTTTGGAAAGGCAAAATGAATACTTCCTATTTCAGGTCTTCCTATGAAGATACTGTAAGCAAGAATGTGTGGTGTCTCATTGGGTATGACAATTAAATCAAAAGAAGAATATGAAGAGTTAAGAAATTGACCTAAACACATATAGACAGTTGATACTTGACAAAGGTGCTGGCAATTCAACAGAGAATTGATAGTCATTTCAACAATTGGATACTTACACAAAAAGTAACATACATACCACATCATACAAAAATATATGAAATAGAACACCAACTTTAGTATAAAATTGAAAACTTGGAGAATTATTGAATAAGTATAGAAGAACATTTATGATTTCAAGTTATAGAGGATTTTAAAAATATGACAAATCATAATCCATAAAATGCAAAAAAAATAACTTTGACATCATCAAATTAAAAACTTCTGCTCTTTAAAAATAATGTTAGGAGAATGAAAAGAGCAGTCACAGACTGGGAAAATATTTATAACTAAAATAATAATACATTACTTTTATCTAGAATATATAGTACCACAAAATCCAATAATAAAACAAACAAACCCATTTTTAAAAAGTGACTGCAAGATGTAAACAGGTACCTCAACAACAATAAAAACAGAAAGATACAAAGGTAGATAATAACTGAGCTCAGAAAGAGTCATGCAACTTGATTAGTTTGTTGTTGTTGTTGTTTGTTTCTTTGTTTTTTAGAGACAGGGTTTCACTCTTGCCCAGGCTGTAGTACAATAGTGTGATTATAGCTCACCACAACCTTGAACTCCTAGGCTCAAGTAATCCTTCCACCTTCCGACTCCTGAATAGCTAGGGCTACAGGTGCACAGCACCATACCTAGCTAATCTTTTATTTTTTACTTTTTGCACAGATGGTGTCTTGCTATGTTCCCCAGACTGGTCTAGAACTCTTTGCCTCAAGCAATCCTCCCACCTTGCCCTCCCAAAGTGCTGGGATTACAGGAGTGAGCCACCATGCCCAGCCTGGGTATTTGTTAAATAAAATAAACACAGTGAAACATTACTACATACATATTAGAATAGCTAAAATTAAAAAAAAAAATAGGCTGACCATACTACATGTGCATGAGGAAACAGAAGAACTAGAACCCCAAAGTGACTGGGAATCAGCTTGGCATTTTTGTAAGTAAATAAATGTGAAAACCATGTAACTACTATATGACCCATTCATTCTTCTCCTAGCTGTTGCTCAAGATAAATAAGAGATATGTTCTTACAATTGACATATATGACTGTTAATAGCTGCTTACTAAAAAGAAGTGGTAACAACCCAAATGCCAACAAGTGAGGGGATAAACAAGTCATATAATGCAATACTACTCAGCAATAAAAGTAATAAAAAATTAATAAATGTAATGAACTATTGATACAACATGGATAAACCTTAATATAATTATTTCAAGTAAAAGAAAATAGACAAAATGTACAAATTTTATTTAGATAAAATTCTAAGTAATCTGTAGTGTCAAGAAAGCAGATTAGTGTATGCTTGGGGATGGGAGGAGAAGGAGAGAGAGATGGTACAGCAGAAGGAAATTTGGAAGTGATAGGTATGTTCATTTTTTAGATGTAGTTCTGGACTCATAGTTATATGCCTGTATAAAAAATTATTAAATTTTATACTTGAAATATATGCATTTTATTGTATGCCACTTATTCCTCAATAAACTTATAAAATATATTCACAAGTTATTTTAAGTATATTCATCACCATGTACTTCAGAATTGTTTTAAGATCATCATTATAAACAAGTATAACATATTCCAGATTTATATATTCTCTATACATATATATTTATATAAGATAAAGAAGCTTGGCATTTTGAAGTTTACAAATTCTCAATAAAAATCTCTAAGACTTTGAAACTATATATTTTAAGGCACCCGACACATAGTGAAAATGGGCCTAGAAAAGTCCATTATCCTGCTGGGATAGTTCTTCTATAGATTATAATTTAAATTAGAAATTACATGTTCTAGTTCCTCAAGGATCTAGAACCAGAGATACCATTTGACTCAGCAATCCCATTACTGGGTATTTACCCAAAGGATTATAAATCATTCTACTATAAAGACCCATGCACACATATGTTTATTGCAGCACTATTCACAATAGCAAAGACTTGGAACCAACCCAAATGTCCATCAATAATAGACTGGATAAAGAAAATGTGGCACATATACATCATGAAATATTATGAAGCAATAAAAAAGAATGAGTTCATGTCCTTTTCAGGCACATGGATGAAGCTGGAAACCACCATTCTCAGCAAACTAACACAGAAATAGAAAAGCAAACACCACATGTTCTCACTCATAATTGGGAATTGAACAATGAGAACACATGGACACAGGGAGGGGAACATCACACACCGGGGCCTGTCGGGGGGAGGGGGGCAAGGGGAGGCAGAGCTTTGGACAAATACCTAATGCATGCAGGGCTTAAAATCTAGATAATGGGTTGATGGGTGCAGCAAAGCACCATGCACATGTACAACTATGTAACAAACCTGCATGTTCTGCACATGTATCCCAAACTTAAAGTATAATAAAAGAAATAAAGAAAGAAAAAAGACTGAGTTAAAACAAACACAATTCTCAATCCAAAGTACCAGGACTTTGGAACTACAAATTAGAGGGTACCTGTGATATAGATGAAATGAGTAGTGGCAACCAGAGTTATCTAGAGAGACTCCACTGAGCTCTGCATGAAATCACCTGCATTTGCAAGAATAATGCTATAAAATCTTGTGCAATGGTGAAAGGAGCACGTGGAGAAATTTCATTAGTTTAGATTTTACAGATTATAGTAGAATAGAGATGTAGAGGTTACCTCATATAAGGAAGTTTTACTTGTAAAGCTACATGAAAGAGGGAATTTGAGAAAGTGTTTCAGCAGAAAAATTTGATAAGTACACTTTGCCATTCAGGATGCAGCAGTGGCTCTGCAGCACGAATATCAGCCGGTTGAACTTCTCAGCTTGTCTTTCCCTCAACAGAGAGCATCTAATGCACCCTATCTAGGGACTCTATAACACAATAAGTCACTCTTCTCCTTTACACTTTTTGGCCTCTATGCCTACCGTATTCCCATCTACTATCTTCTACTATGATTTCCTCTTTTTCTCTCTGCTTCATATTCAATCTCCCCAGGAGATACAATCTAAATGGATCAGTAGGTAATTCTCTAGTTTGAGACAACACTATTGGGCAATGATCTTGTTTCAAGCTAGCATAGAAATGTCTTTGCTATGGTGCATATCCCCAGTACAATACATCATGCCATGGTAGCCCAATCAGATGACAGAAAGCCTGGCCACTTGTGGAAGGGACCCTGACCTGGTCACTTCCATCATAAGAGGAATTGAGCATGCCAAGACCTTAGTGTTTCCTAAAATCTACTTTAGTGTCCCAGGAAAGTGAGAGCAAATAGTTAGACTTCTAATAAGCCTTTCTGATAGAGTAAATATGGTTTCTGAAATGGGATAATGGATTTACATGTGAAACTCTTAAATAATGCAAATGTTTATTACATTAGTCTGCTAAGGGAGAAGGACTCTGAGCAGATATAACACCTGAAAGGGTAGTTTTGATATGTGGAAATAGATAAAAATAGAACACATAAGCCAAAGAAAAAGGCCCAAGAAAAGGAACTATTTTTTAGTATACCTTAGAGCCAAAGCATATGCTTTCATAATGACAACCAGTGCCTTTTGGCCTTTCTAATGTGTTCATAATTTTGCTTAAGCAGCAAGTGCTAGTAGACAGTAATATAAATTTCATTTTATTTACTCAATATTCAGGAAATTGTTTTCATTCTTTAAAAATTAAAATAATGAGGCAATATTAACAAAAAAGTACTCTCATGCAAACTAATGATACTGGTTTTTAAGTAAGCACTTTCTAAAGTAGTTAGATATTTAGTTGATTTAGACATAAAAGATGAAGTTTTGTTGTCATTATCATTATCAGTAATATAAATGAATTAATGTAATTGAAAAATGACCACATGTCAACTCATCACAATAAATACATTTTAAACACTTAAATTGGCATAGTACTTATGATACAGTTGCATAACAAAGCTATCAAATAGAAGCCATAGCAAAACTTTTTGTTTCTTGTAAGATGTGGCTTCAGCTGCAAGGTGACTCTAATTTAAAGGAATCTTTAATTATTCATATTTCTGAGAAATGTATACACTCTCTACCCTTTTGCCCTCAATAACAACAGCTCCTACAGGCAATATGTTTTCTAGTACTCTTATTACTTTATCCGTTAGCAGTTTGTTAAAAAACTGACAGTGCCAAAGCCAGTAATGAAGTTAGCTGGTAAATCACAATGCTGTACATCTTATTGACATTGAGCACAGATGTCTTAATAATTGGCTTCAGATCAGTGCAAAGGAGTGAAGTGATTTCACAGAAGATTGTTCTTGCATATTATGTCTGAAAACTGACGGGAAATACAAATATTGCAAATGAAAAATTTGTTTGGAGCATCCTCTCTTCCCAGCCTTGCTCCAGGGCTTTATTCATCCAAGGAGGAATAAAGCAAAGTTCCTGATTTCTAAGAACTTGTAATATATGAAAACTTAAGTAACTTCCAATAACTATTAAATATAATAAACATTTCACAAACTTGTCCTATTATTAATATGAACTATGCAGACAATAATTGCATTAAATGCTCTATACGTGATGATTTCACATTAAGGAATGTCAAATTGTGAATTACATTAAGTTTAAGATCAGATTAGATTAGCTAATGTACAGAATGTTTTGAGGTTTGGGTTTTAAATAGACATTGAATTAGAGATAATTTTATACTCCTCAGAGTGCAAATATAAATATTTACATTCCTAAGTATTGCTATGCTCTAATTATGGTGAAGAAAATCAATTAACAAGAAAGAGCTTCCAAATCCTAGGGTAGAGTTAGCTGTGACCACCAGACATAGCTGTGATGGACACAAGAAATGTGACACAAAGAAACATGCTAAGAGGACTATGATAGGACTGAAGCCTTGGCAAGAAGCAGTGATAGAGTTGTACAACTTGTTTATTTGGATAAGACTCTAAGACAGTACACCTTTTCTATGACATTCAATTGTAAAAACAAACTGCTGGAATAGAACATTAGCCATCAAGTCATGTCCCAAAAATGGCCATTAATGAGCTGCTCCTTTCTAGCCACACCCGTCACGAGGGAGAATGTCTGGATGATGAGTGATTTTCCTGAGAGGAGGTTGTATCACTTGCTTTCCTTCATTGTTTTCCCCATTATACCATACCTAATGAAACTCTCCTTTTTTAAGTGCCTCCTATTGGGTGATAAAATTGGTCTGTTGTGCATCAAGAGAAGGAGAGGAGAGGACAAATACGTGGTAGGAATGTTTACTTATTGTTTCCCCCTAATTTTTTCCATTGTTCTCAATCAGGGTGATTTGGAAATGTAGGGGAAGTTTTGGTTATCACCGGCTTGCAATGACCAGGGGACACAGACACTAAATGCCCTGAAATATGTATGAGAGCTATGCAGAGTAAAGAATTTGCCCAGTGAAAGGGCTAATAGAGACCCTATTTAGAAGCACAACATATTTAGAAAGCGATTGGAGGAGAAAACCAGCACTCAGGTTTAGTAAATATTTGGGGAAATAGATTTGTCTAATATCAATAAGCCAGCTGTACTTTGTGCCTTTTGGAATTCTAGTAAACAAAATGTTAATTAGAAAAAATAAAAATTGTCATAAACTCTATTAAAGATTACTATGTCTTCCTAATGCTATCCCAACACCAGCAAATTATCCTAGTAAAAATTATTCAATAAAGATAATTGTGAAGATTTTTATTATCTCTAATCAAGAGATAAAATTCCAGGGAAATGGCTATAAGTATTATTTGCAATTATTAAATCATGATCAAAGATGCTCAGTTATCTTACTTATTTATTTATTTTTATTACTACTCCTTATGGAGCAGAGCTAACTCATAGGCAGTACACTCAGAGTCAGCCTATATAATTCAAAGCATGCAACTCCATGTGTTTACATGTTTCTTGCAAAGGAGAGAGATTGATAGACATATAATCATGGAAATTTATCCAATGTGATATAAAAATCACTCTTTACAATTTGAAAAGAGAGAACAAATTTTTGTGACATCAGTGAAATAACATAATACCTTCTCCTTCTTTGTTGTTGGTGGGGAGAACGGGGTGTGTGTGTTTTTTCCTCCCTATACAGTTCCAGTATCTTTAACATAAGGTTAAGAATACGATTTAGGAGCCCTACTACTTGTGTTTAAATTCCACCTATACTACTTACTTATGGACTGAATTTGAGTGAGTTATTTAGCCCCTTTTTACCTTTATTTCCTCATCTTTAAATTGAAATATAAATGCTGGATACTTCAGTATTTAGCACTAGGCCTAAAATTTATTTTTATTAGGGATTATTTTTAAATTAAAAAAAAACTATGGCCATTTTGTTTGAGAAAATTTTCCCACCCATGTTATTTATTTTTCATGCAGCTAAAAACAAGGGGGGAAAAGCCCCATAGAGAAAATCTCACTAAATACAGAGTATTAATAAAATAGTGTACATCAAAAAGAGTATGTAATAGCAGTTTTCTTGTGGCCCACCTTAGAAAATCATTTCTTTAATTGCCCCATAACCACCATGAAAATTACAACATCCTTATGATGCTCTGCCTCGGGATTTACTCCCAATGACGTTGCCCTGGCAATGATGAAGTATTGTGTTCTTTAGATGTTAGATTAGTGTCTCTTCTTTGTTGACCAGGAAGCCAGAAAACACATAGCAATTAAAAAGATGTACAGTCTAATATATTCCAATAAAAGATGATTACTCACATCCACCAATGGGTATTCACAAATTACCTACTAACCCTTTCAAAAATACGCCTGATTTTGTATTATCACCATTGATTTTGAAAGCTGTGCAAAATATTGTTAGACACAGAAGAGGTTTTTTTGCATTTTTTTGTTTTTCTTTTCTTTTTCTGAATAAGCTATTGGTTATTTTTCTTTTAAAATTCTAATACTTAATTGAGGATCTGAAACAGTTTTATCATATTTTGGTGATAATTGTATTTCACAATAGGTAGAAAAATCAATTGAAGAAAGATTTAATATTAACTAAATTTTGACTATCAGGATAGAATTGGCAATAAGAAGAAAATAAAAGAAGCAGACATTTTCAGGGAAAGGGCCCTTGTAATTTCTGTCCTTTTAAAACCACAGAAATTATCTACTCTAGATTGCTACTGACTAGACTGATTATAGTTTTTCAACTAAGGAGTTAGAATGGAGTAGAAACAGAAAAGGGACAATAGGAATAAGAGGCAAGCACGACTCTGGATTATAACTATTAAAATATTCTCGGCTGGGCGTGGTGGCTCATGCCTGTAATCCCAGCATTTTGGGAGGTCAAGGCGGGCAGATCACGAGGTCAGGAGATCAAGACCACCCTGGCGAACATGGTGAAACACTGTCTCTACTTAAAAAATACAAAAATTAGCTGGATGTGGTGGCACGCGTCTGTAATCCTAGCTACTCAGGAGGCTGAGGCAGGAGAATCGCTTGAATCAGGGAGTCAAAAGTTGCAGTGAGCCAAGATCGCGCCACTGCACTCCAGCTTGGGCAACAAAAGCAAAACTCCATCTCAAAAAACATATATATATATATATATATACACATACACACACACACACACACACACACACACACACACACACACAGAGAGAGAGAGAGAGAGAGAGAGAGATGTAGATATATAGATGTGTGTGTATATATATATATATATATATATATATATATATTCTCCTGATAATTATGTGGTCAAATTGGAACCTTTGTTGCTTTTTTTTTTTTTTTGTATCAAGCATATTCCTCTCCCAAACTTCATAAACCACCACTATGTTACTCAAGCTAGAAACCTAACTTATCATGCTGGATTTCTTCCTTTTCCTTATTTCTGACATCAAGTCATCCTAAAATTCTGTCATTTGTATCTCAAAAATATATCTTGTATCCATTCCCTTATCCCCATTTCCACACACATCACCCTAGATAAGCAAGCATCAAATCTCACCTAGAGAAGTCCTTCACAATTTCTAGTAAGCATACAAATTACCTGGGGATCTTGTTAAAGTGTACATTCTACTTTAGTAGGTCTGAAGAAAGACCAGAGACTCATCTTTTCTTACAGGCTTCCAGATGACATTGATCCTGCCATTCCATGGATCACCCATTTAATGGAAGGTCTAGATTACCTCAAGTGTATCTGTATTGCAGGGTCCAATTTCATCCTCCTGCAGTCTACTCTCCACCAAGTAGTTAGAGTGATTTTTAGAAAATAAAAAGCAGATATTTTAAATATCTGAAAATAAAGCTATATTTTAACTCGAGAGAACCAAACTATTATCAGTAGGCAAGAAAGGAACTTTCATAGAGCACAGGGTGGTGGTTTTTACTTTCGCAAAGTAGAATTTGCAACAGGATTTTAAATGGGAATTTTACCTCAATTCACAGAGGAATCAAAACTAAGGACAGATTGCAAATATCCCAAACAATCATAGAAATCATCTAGAAATGTCCCTACAAGATTTTACCAATCTTTCCAATATTCTTGTTCATCCCCTAATGAACATATGTAAGAGAAAGCTAGTGGTTAATGGGAATACATAGGAATACAGAACATGTCCTGGCTTTTCTCCTCCTTTCTGCATGGAGTAAGATGGGGAATATTTCATTCCCTGGTGACATGAGGGTGACCCAAGAGAATCACGCATAGAAATTGGGAGTGCCTCTGAGAAGGAAAGACAGTCTTCACCCTCTATTTCCCTTAGGGCAATTGGAGTGTAGAACAGTGAGAAAATTTCTGGGAAGGCTAGCTTGCATTTTCTAGAGTTTGCAATATTAATAATCACAGAAAATTATGCCTGCTTCTCAGCTGGAGAAGTCAGAAGCAAAATATTTCATCCTGCAAGCCTTAATACCACCGTTTGGCAGAAAAAGAATGGCTTATTTTCCCATGAACTCGGAAGACAGCTGAACTTAAGTCATTTTAAAAACACCCCAACTTTCTTCTCAACCTTCCTACCTTCCCCTACCCACAGCCTAGTACCTAGAGGAACCAGAAGCAATTTATTAATGAATGGAGGAGAACAGAAAGACCAAGGTGATGCAAGAGTAGAAAAAACAGAGCATGCTGCCTGTTTTCTATTGCTTCATAGCAAATGGACACAAACTTAACAGCCTACAGTCACACCTATTTATTAGCCTATAGTACTGTTGGTCAAAACTCTGACATGGAATAGCTTAGTTCTTTAACTAGGGTACCACAGGGCTATAATCTGGGTGTCTGATGACTGAGTCCTCATCTGGAAGCTCTAGGAAAAAAATCATTCTCATGGTCAGCTAAATCTTCTTGTTGGCAGAATACAATTTCTTGTGCTTAGATGACCAAGACCTCTGTTTCTGGCTGGCTGTTGACTGGTGGTTGCTCCTAACTCCTGGAGGCCACTCTGAAGCCCTTTTCATATGTACCCCTCCATCTACAAGTCATCAGTGGCACATTGAATCCCCTTAAAGCTTTGAAACTCTGATTTTCTTTTCTGCAACTAGCCAACTAAAACTCTTTTTAGAAAGTGGTTCAAGAGATTAAGTCAAATCCACTGAGATAATCTCTCAGTCTTAAAATCTACCAAGCTGGGACTTCATTTAAATCAACAAAATCTCTTCACAACAGCACCTAGATTAATGTTTTAATGAATGACATGGTCGAGAAACCTTGACAGGCCATCTTAGTATTCTGCCTACCATACTCCACTTTTTACTGTAGGACCTCAGATAGCCTCAAACAGCCTACACCATCCTAGCAATGAGGTGGAAAGAGGAATCAACTGGGAGTTGAAATGATTTTTTATATTATTTTATGTTTTAAATATTTGAAAATAAAGCTATATTTTAAGTCAAGTGAACCAAACTATTATCAGTGGGCAAAAAAATAACTTTCATAGAGTACAGGGTGGTTTTTTACATTCAATGGCTTCTTATTGCACCTTAAATGATAGGGTCCCAATACAGCCTTCCATTCAGTTCTCAAAGAAGCCCAGCTCTTTTATTTCTCATAGAGTTACCCAGGTGGTTGCTTCTGACTAGAACATCAATAGCCTCAACCTCAAACTCAGCCAATAAGCAGCCACATGGCAGACATCTTTTCCTATATTTTATCTCAGCCTAAGAGCTTTTCTGACCACACTTCCTAATTAGGTACTGCCTTATTATATTCTATCATTGCATCATCTTGATTCCCTTAATAACATGTATCACCATTTGTAATGATTATTTTTTAGTTTACTCATTTATTATCTGTCACAGCTAGGTTTCAAACTCCGAAAGTACAGGGACTATATCTGCTTGACCTCTGCTGTGTTTGATGTCTTCCACAGAAGCTAATACAGAGTACGTGTCAATAACTGTGTTTTCCATAACAATATATTAGAATTAGAAAATATACATATCAATCAAATGGTGAGGGAATGAGATCTCTAAAGAGGATATAAAGTCACAAAATGTTGAACACTGGGTCAAATGTGGTCAAAAGACTTGTGTTTGAACAAAGAATGTCTTTTATAAACCTAAAACTGTTCTTTTTGAGATTGAATTTGAATTTGACCACTCTAGTTTTTCATCACTCCATATTATTTTTATACAGTCTCTACACACTTATATGCCCTACTTCACAATCAAAATTTTGAAAACACAATACTACATGTACAGTGTGAAAAAAAGGAGGCCAGGTTAAAAATTTACATAAATGTCTATATATTTTCTTAATTACTCATGTCCAGTCTTTCTCCCTGACTTTCTTCATCCCAACACACTCTGCTCTTTTAAGAACCACAAACCTAAACTCATAATACTTTGACATCTTATGACACTTAAGAGGTAATACGTTGGCCGGGCGTGGTGACTCACGCCTATAATCCCAGCACTTTGGGAGGCCGAGGCAGGTGGATCACAAGGTCAGGAGATTGAGACCATCCTGGCTAACACGGTGAAAACCCGTCTCTACTAAAAAACAAAAAAAAATTAGTCGGGCGTGGTGGTGGGCGCCTGTAGTCCCAGCTACTCCAGAGGCTGAGGCAGGAGAATGGCGTGAACCTGGGAGGCGGAACTTGCAGTGAGCCGAGATCCTGCCACTGCACTCCAGCCTGGGCAACAGAACAAGACTCCATCACAAAAAAAAAAAAAAAAAAAAAGAGGTAATAAGTTATTCTATAATTACTTGAGTATGTGTCTTTGTCTTCATTACTACTAAAGTTTTTGATAGCAGGAATTCAGACTTTTTTAAATCTTCCACTTTTTCTAACATACAGTTAACGTTCAAATAAGTATGTCCTGAATAAAATAAAATATATAAATAAGTGTTTGTACTCATGAACGCAAAACTATAAAAAAAATTCAATGCTCAGACAGCTTTCTAAAGATGATCAAACTTAGATTTAGAAATATGAGTACAAGACCTTATTTCTGAAAGTACCTTGCTTCTTTCATTACTGTTCAAACATACTTATACTTTGCATAGATTTATGAAGACACTTGCATCTTTATGCCATGCACAGATTTCTCCCATCATTATTTTTATATGCCCACCAGATGAATTTTTGTCATAAAAATGTTGTCCTAGAAAGTGTCATACAGTAATGATGGGATACTTTCTTCTCTAAAACAACTATCAATCAATGCTACATGTTTTGAAGGAGAAAGATCAGGGGTTTTCTTTATGTTTCCCTCTCCCCACAACTCTATCCATGGTTAGACAGTTGAAATGAAACTTGTAAAGGCTGGAAAATTCTTTTTCCTGGTGGTCAAGACTTACCAATTTATAGAAAAAATGATTTCTTACAAAACGAAACCAGTTAGAAAGTACTGGACTCATAGCCTTTCTTTCATATTCCCCTGCAGGATTAGTATACTTATATACCATATAAATTTATCACAATTTATTATGTTTTCTTAGTCCCACTGCTACTGAAGGAAATTATACACAATATAAAAATACTTAGCCTCAGTTTCTACAATATTGAAAGGTCACAGACAGACTTCATTTCCGCCTAATCTCTATCACGTCACCATTATTTCAGAATTTTCAGGGCATTTCCTTCTCTTTGAAGGGGAAAGACACTTGTGAGAAGGAATAAAATGTCATAATTTTTCAGTGTCTTTCACAGAGTTCTTCATTGTGTCCTTTTACTCCTACTTAAACTTTCCCTTCTTCATCAAGATCATTCAGAGTTCTGGCTATTTTGCTCTTAACAAATGGCTGTGCTTCAACCTTCCATAAATTGCCTTCCACCTGCCTTGAATCCTTGTATTTTTCCAACAAGCAAAATGGAATACAGAGATAAAAAAATTACAGTTATTATTGATGTGCCCATTAATACATGTTCATTTTTATAGAGAAATCTGTATATTTTAGTGATATTTGCATCTCTTTCATCTTGCCTCTTTCTAGATTATAGGTTAAAACATATTGGGCAATATTATATTATTCTCTTCATGTAAAAAAATGAACATTTGCCTTGGCTGTCTTCCTTTATCAGTAAATAATGCCCAAAATAAATTAATGAATATATAAAAAGTAATCACTGAGAAAAAAACATTTTTAATGTTCCTAAACTTTATGACATGTATTCATGAGAAGATCTTTAATAAAGTTCCTTGACTGTTTCTGTCATTTTAGGTGTGGGTGACATAAATAGTCTTGTGAGGGCTAATTACTAACCTTATATGGACTAAATGCTTTATCTCAGAGCTGTAAATGGAAAATAGCCCAATAAAAGTTATCCCATAAATCTGAGGACTCCAATAAGTCCCATGTCAAACTTTATACATGTACATATGCCTTTCATTTGCTTAGTTCATCCCTATGTACCAGAAGACAGCTCAAGGACATGACTAAGATTAACTATAAATTTTCCTTCAAGGATCAAATTTATATTTATACCGGGGGGAATTCATAAACCTTTTCAGGTAAGTGCATAATTCCAATCCAGATTCAGTGTAAAATGTTTTGCTTGAAACATGCTGATTCTTGTAGCAAATAAAATATCCATTTATTATGCATAGAAAATAAGACAATAGTAACCCTAATATCAGAGTGACAATAGAAATAGAAGGTAGTTGAATTATGTTTTATTTTCTAAAACTTCCTTTATTTTGATATTTACATTTCCCAGTTTAGAATGGAATAGTTTTTCCTAAATTAGGAACTGACAGCTTAATTATATGTGATTGATATGCTTTCTTTGGAGGAGTCACTACTGGAATATAAACAGCTATCCTTTTTATTTGTTTTTATCATATTCAATATACACAAATATAGAATAGAGATAGTTTTGTTGGATTCAGTAATGCTCATTGGAAAAATCCTAGCATAGACAAAATTCTATTTAGCAAGTATTAAATTATCCTACTCTGCATTGTGAGGTTAGTACTCATATGGTATATAATTCACCCAAAATTTCTATGCAGATGTAGATATGACAAATTCTGTTTTAATGAGAAATCCTTTACACCATATTCATAGCCATATCTCCATTTAATACTCAATATAAGCAGCATGGAAAAACTGCCCTTTTCTCCATCTTGGCTAAATCTCACAACATTGTCTGTGAAGACATTCAGTGTTTTAAAGAACTGTACTTTTAATCTGTGCAATGTTAAATGCTCTTCATAAAATACCACTATTTCCAGACTATTGTAACTTTCGCATCAGTAGCAGAGCCTAATGGGAGTAACATTGCCTTTGGAATAAGACTGACCTGGTTTGAATCTTTACTTTGTGATTTAATAAACAGGAAAACTTTCCAATATTTTGTAATCTGTATGAGTTTCACATTGTTTCTCTGTAAAATGTCAGCAACTATTTCATTAATACAAACCTTGCAGATTTTATCATGATGATTAGATGAAGTAATGGTGGGTGTAAAGTGTCTAACTGCATTCCTTGTGAATTGTACATACTCAGTCAATGAGGCTGTTAACGTTGTTATAACTATGGAAAGATTTACACTGAACACTTCTTGATTATTTTCCTAAGTAATGAATTTATCTTTTCTTTTAAAGGAATCCTAATCATTTCCAAAAAAGGTAAAGAAAAAAGAATAAAGGGGAAACAGTTAATGATAGAGTCAGTCATACATGAATACAGAGCAAACAAGATGAAAAAGACTGGGAAGAAGATAACATTATAGAGACATCTTCAAAATTCAGATTCAGGAGGATATACCTGGTAAACAGCTATATCACTTAGCTTTCTTAGTTTCAAGTAAAAATGCTCTATTCAACGCACCTTAAGACAAAAAATAAAATAAAAGAATGTACTGACTCCTTAACTCACATGTCAAAAATGTAGAGCTAGCTAAACAAATATTGAAACAACGTTCTCAAGATTATGTCTGTGCATCACTCTGTTTTGTGTTTTCTATGTTTAGTACCTTATCAGAGAGATCTTTCATTGTAAACAAACAATACATTTGAAAAGTCCAGCTTTCCACAGTTTTTACTATCTTAGAAAAGTACCTTTCCTTTTCAGGACCTAAACTTCCTGTTGACAAAAAGATGTTAATGAGCACAGCTTGGATCATATGTACAAAATGAACTTTCATTCACTATAGTCAAGGAAATAGCAATTTGCTAGTCCACAAAGTCCATGATGTATCACAAGACTATGTCTATGAGAGGCAGTTTCCTTTATTGAAGTGCCAATAAATTTTGGTGAAACAGGAATAGAGCATTTCCCAAAGAAAGTAGATATGGGGCAAAAAAGTAGACCCAATTATTACCTTCATGTTGCCTACAGTCCAAAGTAGAAAAATATACTAATTACATATTTTAAATCAGTATACTGAGTGTTACAAATAAGAGATGTGCTTATGAAATTCTTTCATAGGGAGAGATGAACTAGTCAGAATGGTCAGGGAAGGCTACTTAAAAGTAGGAAAGCAAGCTGATATAAGAAGTTTCCACAGGCACTACGAGAAGAGGGTAAGGAATACGATTCCAAGAACATTAACACTTGTGCAAGGTTTTGTAATGGGTGAGAGCAGGGCAAAGATGAGGCTGTATTACATTTGCCTGAAAGAAACTAAAGAAAGCCTAAATAGATGGAAAGTCATCTCTTGTTCATTGACTGGAAGATTTAATATCACTAAGTTAGTAAAAATACTACCCAAATTTATCTACACATTCAACACCATTCTTATTAAAATTCCAACTACCATTTTATTGCAGAAAAGGAAAATCTGATCTTAAAATTCCATGGAAATACAAGGTGCCAAAAATGGGCAAAAATTACGAAAAAGAGCAAAGTTGGTGGACACATACTTTCCAATTTCAAAGCTTAACGCACAGCTACAGTAATCAAGATAGCGTGGTAATGGCTTAGGGACAGAAATTTAGATCAAAGTTATAAAAGTGAAAATCTAGACATAAACATATATGTCTAAGGTCAGTTTATTTTCAACAAGGTTACAGGGAAAGAATAATTTTTCAATAAATATTGCAAGAACATCAGGATATTGACATGTATAAGAGTTAAATTAGACTCCCTCTTCATAGTATTCACAAAGACTTAACTCAAAATGGATCGAAGACCTAAATGTAAGAGCTAAAACTATAAAACTCTTGCAAAGAAACATAGGTGTAAAACTTCATGACCTGAACTAGGCAAAATTTTCTCAGATATTACAGACAAAGCACAAGCAACAAAAGAAAAAATAAATTGGACTTTATAAATATTAAAAACCACTGTTCATCAAAAGGCATTATTAGAGTAAAAAGGCAATATGGGGAATGGGAGAAAATATTTGAAAATCACAAATGTAATCATTCACTGTTTAGAATATAATAAGGACTCTTTTTTTTGTTGTTTGTTTGTTTGTTTGTTTTTATTATACTTTAAGTTTTAGGGTACATGTGCACATTGTGCAGGTTAGTTACATATGTATACATGTGCCATGCTGGTGCACTGCACCCACTAACTCGTCATCTAGCATTAGGTATATCTCCCAATGCTATCCCTCCCCCCTCCCCCCACCCCACCACAGTCCCCAGAGTGTGATATTCCCCTTCCTGTGTCCATGTGATCTCATTGTTCAATTCCCACCTATGAGTGAGAATATGCGGTGTTTGGTTTTTTGTTCTTGCGATAGTTTACTGAGAATGATGATTTCCAATTTCATCCATGTCCCTACAAAGGACATGAACTCATCATTTTTTATGGCTGCATAATATTCCATGTTGTATATGTGCCACATTTTCTTAATCCAGTCTATCATTGTTGGACATTTGGGTTGGTTCCAAGTCTTAAGGAAATAAAAGAGGAAACAAACAAATGGAAGAACATTCCATGCTCACGGGTAGGAAGAATCAATATCGTGAAAATGGCCATACTGCCCAAGGTAATTTACAGATTCAATGCCATCCCCATCAAGCTACCAATGACTTTCTTCACAGAATTGGAAAAAACTACTTTAAAGTTCATATGGAACCAAAAAAGAGCCCGCATTGCCAAGTCAATCCTAAGCCAAAAGAACAAAGCTGGAGGAATCACACTACCTGACTTCAAACTATACTACAAGGCTACAGTAACCAAAACAGCATGGTACTGGTATAATAAGGACTCTTATGACCCCACAAAAAATTAACAAATAACTCAATATTTTTAAAATAAGCAAAATATTTGAATAGACAGTCCCAGAAAAGATACACAAATGGATAACAAGTACATGAAAATATTCCTAAAATAATTAATTGAATGCAAAACAAAGTCACAATAAGATACCAGTTCACATCAACTAGAGCAGCAATAATAATAGTAACAAAACAGAAATTAACAAAAATGCTGGGGAAATGTGGAGGAATTTGAACCCTTGTACATTGCTGGTAAGAATGCGAAATTATCTGGGTGCTGTGAAAAACCATTTGCAAGTTCCTTAAAAACTTAAATATAAGCTGGGCCCAGTGGGTCACACCTGTAATCCCAGCACTTTGGGAAGACTAATGGTGACTGAAAATGTATTGTCTTCTTTTTATAAAACTTGTTTTCACTGGTTATAAAATTGTAATTAACATTTTTTCTTTCTTTTGAACACGTTTTGTTTTAATTTTCCTTCAACTTTTTTTCTGGCGATGTTTGTTTTTATCCTCCTTGTTGCTTTTACAGAGTTATTGTGTTTTCCTCAAGCTGCTTTAATGATTTTCTCAATGTCTTCATTTATCAGCAGTTTGGCTATTAACAAGCTCATCACCATGAGGGTGTTGAAAACTGTTCAGTGTCTCAGCTGCTCTTTGAGAGCAGATATCTTTAGGGAAAATGTGGGCTTAATCCTTTTAAACTTTTGAAGATAATTTTGCAGGCTACAGAATTCTAGGTTGGTGAGTTTTTGTTTTTGTGTTGTTGTCGTTGTTCTCAACACTAAATGTTTTACTCTATTATCTTTTTGCATGCCTGGTTTCTGAGGAGAAGTCAGATGCAAATTTTCCTTTTGTTTATCTATATGTAAGGTGTTTTCTTTTTTCTCTGCTTCTTTCATAATTTTAATTTATCTTTGATTTTCTGTAGCTTTGAAATGATATGTCTACTTGTATTTTTTTGTCTTTTATGTTTTTTTGTTGTGTGTTTGTTGGCATTTATCCTGTTCGGTATTCTCTTATCTTTCTGGATCTCCGGTTTGTGGTCTGACATTAATTTGGGGAGATTCTTCATTATCCTTTCAAATATTTTTATGTTCCTTTCTCTCTTTCTTGTCTTTCTGGTATTCCCATTACACATATATTACACCTTCTGTACTTATTCTACAATTTTTTTTTTTTTTTTGAGATGGAGTCTCACTCTGTCACCCAGGCTAGAGTATAGTGGTGTGATCTCGGCTCACTGCAACCTCTGCCTCCTGGGTTCAAGCAATTCTCCTGCCTCAGCCTCCCGAGTAGCTGGGATTACAGGCACCTGCCACCACACCCGGCAAATTTTTATACTTTTTCTAAGTAGAGATGGGGTTTCACTATGTTGGCAAGGCTGGTCTTGAACTCCTGGCCTCAAATGATCCACCCACCTTGGCCTCCCAAAGTGCTGAGATTGCAGGTGTGAGCCACAGCTCCCTGCCCCACAATTCTTGAATACTCTGTTCTTTTGTTGTTACTGTTCTTTGTTGTCTTTGCTTTTAAGTTCTGGATGTTTTTATTGAGATATCTTAAGCTTGAAGATTCTTTTCTTAGCTGAATCCAGTCTACTAAAAACACATCAAAGGCATTCTTCTATCTTGTTATAGTGATTTTTATCTCTAGCATTTCTTTTTGGTTTGTTGTTAAGATTTTCACTTATCTGCTTACATTGCTCATTTTTTTGTGTATGTGCATTGTCTCTATCCATTAGAGTACTTAGCAAATTATTCATAGCTGTTTTAAGTTCCTGGTATGACAATTCCAACATCCCGGTCGCGTCTGGTTCTGATGTTTGCTCTGTCTCTTGAAACTGTCTTTTTTGTCATTTGGTATGCTTTCAAATTTTTCTTGATAACTGGATATGATGAACTCAGCACTGGCTCCTACAGGAGTTTAAGGTCATGAATTTCTTCCCTGATAAGTTGTGATTCTCTGTAGGCACCTGTCTGTCCTTCCAAATTTGGAGACAGTGGTTGACCCTGTGACCTCACTTCTCTTATTAATCTAAGAGCTGTTGTAGATTTTTCAGTTTGTAAAGCTTTATACATCTTGTTAGTAGTGGCAGCTTCCAAACTCCTTACAAGTGGAATTGGAAGTTATGATCTTTTTATTCAATTCATACATGTTTTACTTACACTTCTTCCCTAACTCCTGCCCTCTCTCCCTATTCTCCATATTTGGTTGGTATAATTTGTTTGTTTCCTTCTTTTTTTCCTTTTCCATTGTTTCCCCTTTACTGGTTTGGGAATTACATTGTATCCTATTCTTATGGTAGTTATGCCTGAAATTTAACTATGCATACTATCTTAATATAACCTGAAGGAAAATAATATCTTACTCTTTCTGAATAATTCAAAAACCCTAGAATAATTCACCTCTTATTACACACTTCCTGATGTACATGCTACTATTTTTACATATAGTAACCCCATAAATTAGATATAGATTTTTATGTACAATGGCTGTTTAGATTTACATATATGCTTTCATTTATTGGGTACATTAATATTGAAAACTGCCAGTCTAATTTTCTTATATGAGGCCATATCCTATATTTGTTATCTGTCAAATCTCTCTGATTTTAAAGCTTCAACTCTATTCTCTCTTTCTAGGAAAGTATGTAAACAAAGTTATTCTTCCCCTCCATTACTTTATTTTTACATATCTGGTTCTATGTCTCTCTATGATGCATTTCAGATATTTCTTCAGGTTTTTTTTCAAGTCCTCCATTTTATCTTTAACTGTGTCTAATTTGTTTTTCTACTGATAATTGAAAGTTTACTTTTAATAAATTATGTATCTTTTCCCTAGGAGTTTATTTTGGCTGTTTCAGAGTTGCCAGTCATTCTGACATCTTTAAAAAGCTTTTTGTCTTTCTATATGAGTCCATTTTTTCCATCATTTATTTTTTAACCACAGTGTTGAGCTATGGTTGACATATAAAATATATACATATTTAATGTATAATATTTGATGTGTTTGGAAATACGTATATATCATGAAACCATCACCACATAAACCTATCCATCACCTCCAAAAGCGTTCTCTAGACCTCGTTATTTATGTATTTATTTATTTTGTGATAAAGACACTTAACATGGGATCTAACCTCTTAATAAACTTTTACATATATGATACAGTATTGTCTAATATAGGCAGTATCTGGTACAGTAGATCTCTATTTTTCATTTTAGCTATTGCCTTTGCCAATTATAAACACGAAAGACTTCAGTATCTCAAAGATATTATTCATTGTTTCTGATGACTGCTACACATGTTGGCTTATTCGTTTTTGTACTTACTGATACTTGATTGGAAAATTGTGAAATTCCTCTTGCATTATCCTAATTGTGACCATCCTCCAGGCCTAAATTTGGGAAGATTTCCTGCAGGAATATTTGCCCCTTCTTGTTCTAGACTCTAATTCTCTCAAACTGTCTACTTTAAACAGGTCCTCTGTTTTAAGTACTTCTACTTATTGATGGTCCAAGACTTAGTATTGCTATACTGAGAATAATGCTACCATTTTTAAATACCATTTATGGTGATCCAAAACCTTCTATTTCATTACAGATTTTTGCCTGCAGGTCTATATTTAGCATTCATAGTGTTCATTGTTTATCTGTGTATGCAGGGTGGTTTTTAAAAATTTCCTTATTTTTTGAAAGTTCCAGATTGTATCAAAATTATTTTATTCAGCATATACTATTCAGCATAGTAGTAAGTACTACACTACACTGCTATAGTAAATCTGAAAGATTTCCCAGAGTATTGAGTCTAAAAAATGCTGGAAAGAAAATCAAGAAATTTTGAATTTTATTTTATAATATTTTTTTCAAATACATATGTTTCAGTCAGGGTTCTCCAGAGAAACAGAACCAATAGGAAGAATGGAGATGGAGAAAAGGAAGGGGAGAGAAAGAGAGGAGATAAAGATGGGGGGGATTTATTATAGAAACTGGCTCACATGATTATGGAGGCAGAGCAGTCCCCTAATATGTCATGTGAAAGCTGGTGGACCAGTAAAGCCAGATATGTAATTCAGTCAGAGTCTGAAGGTCTAAGAACCCAGAGAGCCGATGGTGTAACTCCCATTCTAAGGATAAAGACTTGAGAACCTGAGGCAAGAGAACGCACTGGGTGGGAGGACGGTACGAGTCCTAAAGTCAAGAATTTCTAAGACCAAGAGCTTCAACATCTAGGGTAGGAGAACCTTGCCATCCCTGATCAAGAAAATAAATAACAAATTCACCCTTCCTCTGCCTTTTTGTTCTATCTGGGTCCTCACTGGATTTGTGGATGCCCACCAACATTGGTCAGCATATATTTTTCTTACTCAGTTTACTGATGCAAATGCTAATATCTTCTGGAAACAACTTCATAGATACAGAGAAATAATGTTTTACTATCTGGGCATCCCTTAGCCCAGTCAAGTTGACACAACAAAGCAAATATTACAACATATTTATTAATCTGGTCACTAGAGTTGTGGACCTTAAATTTTTGTACCAATTTACCATTGCCAAAATATACCATGTCAATGCTATAGGTATTCCTAACTGATGTTGTTACTCATCTCCATTTCAGGAATATACATATATATTATATAATATATTATATTATATATAATATATATAATATATTATATTATATATATAATATATTATATAATATTATATATTATATATATTATATACATATTTTATATATATATATAGAACCAGGTGAAGTGGTGGATGCTTGTAGTCCCAGCAACTTGGGAGGCTGAGATGGGAGGACTGCTTGAGCTCAGGGGTTCATCGTGTTCAGCCTGTGAATAGCCATTGCAGTCCAGCATGGACAATATAGTGAGACTCCATCCTTAAAATTTTTTTAAGTTTATTTTTATCTTTTTCTCTAAAATATGGCCTTCTCTTTTGACCTTTTTTTTCAATTATTTATAAAAAACAGATCTTATTTAAGGTAACTGTTACATATCTTCTGGATGTAAGAAATCAGTTTTAAATGGTATTATTAATGTGTAAATCAAAATATCCAGTCTGTTCTTTTTTCTTTCAGAAATCTCTAGGTTTATATAAGACCAAATTAATTTCTTGGTATACTCACTGTTTGTAAGCTATTTTTTATAATTTTCAGATAAACAAACTATGTTCTAAAGGTGAATTTTTGTTTATTCAAACTACATACATTGCTATTAACAAAAGACAGAAGTTCTTATTTCAGATTCTAGGCATATCATTGCATTAGTAAAATAATCAGTTTAATTCTGGGACAGCAGGTGGGCAATAAGGTATATTTATAAATGAATATATTTACTGAAATAGTATTACTTTCTAAAATTCATCATCTCTTTTCTTTTTTGCTTAATTACCAGTATTATTAATTTATCACTAATTATTGGTTAATATTATTCTTACGTTTATATTATCACTATAATCATTGTTAATATTAGTGACCACATACAAAATGTATAGGGTCATTATTTTTTGTTGGCATTGTGCTAAAGTTCTCATAAAATTCTATTTGCTATTTTACAATTGGAAAAAAATTATGCAAAAATATTCAAGTGACTTATAGGAAGAGGTAGAGAGTTAAAGAGTGAAACCCTGATAGTCTTACCCCAAGGCCAAAGTCCTATTTTATTATTTTTATATTCTTACTATATATTATACAAATCTTCATTGCAAGTTTTACTAATATATTTCTTTAGAAGTAAAAACATAAGAAATCTAATTTTTGTATATAAAAGCTGTAAACTAAATTATATATATACACATACATACATACGTGTGTGTGTGTATATATATATACATATATAACCTATGGATTAGGAAAATTTATTGCTTCAACAAACTAAGGGGATTACTTCCCATAAAATTAGTCTAGCTGTCATTATAAACATAATTAAAAAACAAGACTTTTTGGCATTTAATGTGAAAAATTTTAGTTTTTGGTAATAGTATTTAGATGTTAGGTTGACAGAATCATTTTATAAGAAAATAAAAATTTATTGATCCCCTCAAATCTAGCATTTGTTAGGAATTTATTTTGCAAAAATAAAATACATTTTAAAGTATTTCCGTTCTAACAATAATATTTGCATCCATCTACAAGCACTCTAATAGAAATGGATGAATCAGATATCAGCAGGTTGAATCAAACCAGGGTCAGCAAAGCTAGCAAGTCATTATCATAAATGCCTGTCCTCAAGCATACACAAATAATATAGATGTCATTGCTTGGTTTTTAATAGAGAGGCACCTACACCACAGTTCCCCTTTCAATAGAGCTGGCACCTCTGACTTCCCATTGCAAAGGCAAACATGAGCTGACCACAGCAAAGGCAAAGGCAGGATGAAACCAGAGTGAAACTGCACAAGGTGCAAATATTATTAAAGCATTATCATTTCCTGAGCCCCCATCTGCCAGGACAGCTCCAGTGATTACACAAAATATATCCTCCTGGATATATTTTGCCTCCCCTTTCTCTTGTCTAGCCCATATTCTCTTTATTCCAGTAAATTGAATCTATGTTTACATACAAAACATGATCCAGCTGCTGTTTAAAGTAATATATCCAACTTTTGCAAAATGAGGGAAAATCATTCTGCACCAATGGTACGTGTGCATGTGTATTGACATGTGCACGTACATGCACGTGCGTGCATAGACACACACACACACACACACACATACTGCACAAGCACTGAAAACATTGGCTAGGGCTGGGAGCAGATTTTGTTACTCTATAACAGGCTTTTTTTTAAGGACTTTAAAGTGTAAGTCTATGAATGTGTAGTGAGTTGGTTGAAATTATATGTATAATATTTGATATGTACATATGTTGTAGACAAGTTAGACAACTTCTTTCCATATAAGTCTCTTGCCTTCCACAAGAACATTCCTCTACATACAGGAATGAGCTCTACATGGTACATTTGTACATTTTCCCAGCCCCATGATTACTGTTAATTTTATTATGACTGAATTCTAGACCTAAAGTATACTATTCAGATTTCCTTTTCTAGTAATTTGGAATTGGGATTCAGAGACATTGAGTGAGTGGCTAGAGGTTTATTTGTTTCAAAATGTAACATCCACATTTATATGCTCTTATGCAGCCATATTTCACCAGGTAAACAGAGAAACAGAGAAAGTTATTTACAAAATCAATGATAAAGGAGAGTAAATTCCTGACCACTTTCCATATTTTAATTGAGTGTCTCTGATTGAGGCCTAGTTTCATTCTTACACTTTAGTTCTGTGAGATGCTCTAATATATAATAAACAAAGTCATCATATCCTTAAGCCACCTCCTATTGTTTTAGTTATACACAAAAGGTCATAAAATCTGCATCATTTTAAGATGGCAGGTATGAGAGGTCATTATTTTGAGTCTATAAGCCACTTTTAAAACCCTGCAAGGGTATTTCTCTGGCTTTGGGGTATTACATTACTCCCAGTCCACTAGGCAATGCCTGGAAGACAGCTTCTTAGCCTCAAAAGACAGAATAAATCTCTGGTATTCCCTATAAAGGAAAAATGATAAGGCCTCACTATTAAAATAAATATATACACTCAATATAAGATATTAAAAAATATACAAATTTACTGAGGTAAAAATGACTCTTTGGGAATTGGACCACTTCTGAATTTCACCATATGTATTTTGCTACTTTCTGGATATAAAACAATCAGTTCCACTTGATTTCTCATCTGTAAAAGAGATGTATCAGAAGTAGAGAAAAATCCAATGAATCCAAGGCATAAAAGAAGTCAGCATCTCAGAATGGAAAGATAATACACTTTTGAGATAGATGGTTTCAGCTTCAAATCCCAAATCCTGTGTGATTTTGGGCAAATTATTTTATCACTCTGAGTTACATTTTCTTCCTCTGAAAAACGGGGCAAATGGATCAGTATGAGAAATAAATAAAAAAAGGACTTGTCCTGCACCCAATAACCTATAGGTGGAACTCAGGATTTCTTGCTAATACATTCAAGTTAATAAGGCTGGGCAGTGATGACAGAGGACCCCACATATTAATGTTACCTAATCTACTTTTCTCATAGGCCCCAAAAGTCTTTAGGTACTATTAACATCCATGATGAAAAACTATTTTATTCATCCTAGAATCAATTGTCCTTATGTATCTGTATAGAACATTTCCTCTAATAGTAGTAAATGCCAGTTATTGATGACTATCTAGGTAGTAACTGCTAAGCATTATATGATTTATCACATTTAATATTCACAGTAACATTGTAAGTTAGCTATTGCTATCATTATTTTAATACCATGAAATCTGAGGCATAGAGAATTTAAGTTTACTGTCCAAAGTCATCAGCAAGAAAGTGTCAGAGTCAGAATTCAAAACCAACTTTGCCTAGCTCCAAAGTCAATATTATAACCCAAATCCTTTATATCTAGACCATTAAAGTAATGGTGCCCTGACTTTTCTGTATTTGATAGGAATACAGGAGATAATGGGTAAAAGAAAAGTAAGTGATTCTACCACCAGTATTTGAAAATAAAAATGCGTTCATATACTCACTTTTTCCTCAATTACTACTGTATAATGCCATTTTGTGACATGTTTTCCAATTTCAAATTTGTACCAACAGTCATTTGAATTTGATTTTGCTTATCATTCTTAGTTTCTCTTAAGCTTGTGCTTCTATCACTGAATTATTCTTGTTTTGTTTTGTTATGCCTCCTTGCTTCCTTTTTTTAAAACAAAAATTTATTTTAGGTTTGGGGGGTATATGTCAAGGTTTGTTACATAGATAAAAATGTGTCACGGGGGTTTATTGTACATAACATTACATCACCCAGGTATTCAGCCCAGTACCCAATTATTTTTTCTGCCCCCGCCCTCCATCCTCCTGCCCTCCCCAGTGAAGTAGACCCCAGTGTCTTTTTTTTCCTTCTTTGCGTTCAAAAGTTTTTATCACTTAGATCCCACTTACAAGTGAGAACATGCTGCATTTGCTTTTGTTCCTGCATTCATTTGCTAAGGATGATGGCCTCTAGCTCCATTCATGTTCTCACAAAAGACATGAGCTCATTCTTTTTTATGGCTGCGTAATATTCCATTGTGTATATGTACCACATTTTCTTTATCCAGTCTGTCATTGATGGACATTTAGGTTGATTCCATGCCTTTGCTACTACGAACAGTGCTGCAGTGAACATTCACATGCATGTATCTTTGTGATAGAATGCTTTATATTCCTTTGGGTATATACCCAGTAATGGGATTGCTGGGTCAAATGGTAGTTCTGCATTTAGATCTTTGAGGAATTGCCATACTGCTTTCCACAATGGTTGAACTAATTTAAACTCCCACCAACAGTGTATAAGGGTTCCCTTTTCTCTGCAATCTCACCAGAATCTGTTTTTTGTTTTGACTTTTTCATAATAGCCTTTCAGACTGGTGTGAGATGGTATCTCACTGCGGTTTTGATTTGCATTTCTTTAATGATCAGTGATACGGAGCTTTTGTCTAATTGCTTGCTAGCCTCATGTATGTCTTCTTTTGAGAAGTGTCTGTTCATGTCTTTTGCCCACTTTTTAACAGGGTTCTTTTTTTTCTTGTAAATTTGTTTAAGTTCCTTATTGATGCTGAATATTAGAACTCTGTCAGGTGCATAGTTTGCAAAAATTTTCTCCCATTCTGCAGATTGCCTGTTTACTTGGTCTATAGTTTCTTTTGCCATGCAGAAGCTCTTAAGTTTAATTAGGTATCATTCCTTTCTTCCTTTTTATAGCAATTTTTAAACCTATTTGAGCAAAGGAAATAGAATAGGTTTGCAATTTTATTTTATTTAATCATAAAAAAGGTAGATAATATAAGATGTATTAAAGATTTAAATGTAAGACCTCAAACTAAGAATTCTAGGAAAAAACAAAGGAAATATCATTCTGGGCACTCCTTGGGAAAGAATTTATGCTAAGTCCTCAAAAGTAACTGCAACAAAATGAAAAATAGACAAGAGGGATGTACTTAAACTAAAGAGCTTCTACACAGCAAAAGAAACTCTCAACAGAGCAAGCAGACAACTACAGAATGGGAAAATATATTCACAAACTATGCATCTGATAAAAGTCAAATACCCAGAATCTGTAAGAAACTTAGACATTTAGGCTGGGCATGGTAGCTCACATCTGTAATCCCAAAACTTTGGGAGGCTAAGGTGGGCAGATCACCTGAGGTCAGCAGTTTAAGACCAGCCTGGCCAACATGGTGAAACCCTGTCTCTACTAAAAATACAAAAAAAATTAGCCAGGCGTGGTGGTGGCTGCGTATAATCCCAGCTACTCCAGAGGCTGAGGTAGGAGAATCGCTTGAACCCAGGAAGCCGAGGTTGCAGTGAGCCGAGGTCATGTCACTGCACTCCAGCCTGGACAACAAGAGTGGAACTCTGTCTCAAAAAAAAAAAAAAAAAAAGTAAACTTAAACAATTCAACAATCACAAAAGTAACTCTATTAAAAAGTGGGCAAAAGACATGAACACACACTTCTTAACAGAAAAAAATACAAGCAGCTAATAATCACACAAAAAAATGCTCAACATCATTAATCACCAGAGAAATGCAAATCAAAACCACAATCAGATACTATCTCATACCAGTCAGAATGGCTATTACTAAAAAGTCAAAAAATAACAGATGCTGGCAAGGCTGAAAAGAAAAGGGAATTCTTATCCATTGTTAGTGGGAATGCAAAGTAGCTCAGCCACTGGAGAAAGCAGTTTGGAGATATCTCAGAAAACTTAAAACAGAACTGTCATTCGACTCAGCATTCCCACTACTATATATATATATATATATATATATATACTCAAAAGAAAACAAATCATTCTACCAAAAAGACACACATACTCATATGTTCATTACAGCACTATTCCTAAGAACAAAGACATGGAATCAATCTACGTGCTCATCAACAGTAGATTGAATAAATAACATGTGGTGCATATACACCATGGAATACTACACAGTAGTATAGGAAATAATGAAATCATGTCCTTTGCAGCAACATGAATGCAGCTGCAGACCATTATCCTAAGCAAATTAATGCAGGAACAGAAAACCAAATACCACATGTTCTTACTCATAAGTGTAAGCTAAGCATTGGATACACATGGACATAAAGATGGAATGACAGACATTGGGGACTACCAGAGTAGGGAGAGAGGGAGAGAGGCAAGAGCTAAAAAACTACCTAGTAGGTACTATGCTCACTAACTGGGTAATGACATCATTCATACCCCAAATTTTAGCATCACACAATATACTCATGTAACAAATCAGCACATGTACCTCTGAAACTAAAATAAAAGTTGAAATTATAAAGAAAGTGGTAAATTAGAATATTGTTTAAAATTGATTTACTTATTAAAAATTAAAATTTACAAAATTAAATAATGTATTTAGCAGATATTAATTGAATGTCTACTTTTGCCAGGTTTTGCTGAATATTAGAGATGCAATAATAAAAAAAAAAGTTCCTGTCCTAAGGGCAAAATAGGCAATAAACAAATAAATCTATAGTTCTATTAGGGAATGAGCAACATTATTAAAAAAAAAATCATGCTACAACCCTATAGTGGGTTGGGTCCAAAGGATGATTAGGCCAGCTTCATACCAATTTGGTTTACTTATATCTAGGCCCTCTTGGTCAGTCTGGCCTACTCTGTCATAATCATTGCGGTGTTCACTAAGGACGCCCTACTGTTTTTCTCTGCCATCTCAACTTCTGTGGGAACGCAACTGAGAGTGAACTCAAGTTCTTTTCCACAAGGCTGCGGGGCCATATGCATATCAAGGGATATATGTCTGGGTATAATTCTTATTATTCTGCATCATCTAATGAGAGCTAAGAAGTTTTCTGAAGGTTGTATGGCATTTAGGAAGCAGTATTTCCCAGGGTATATAGACTATGTTACAGCTAAGGAGATATTCAATTCTGACACTGCACAAAAGGAAGGGCTGTAAGGACTTGACCTTATGTGCAATGACAAGGCAACTCAGAAGATGCATGAGTAGGATCTGTGGCTTAGAACAAAACAAAACTAAGCAATCCCAGACTAACCAATCACATAATCCATGCTATCTGGAAAAACAAAAAACAACAACAACAAAAAAACAGTTTATTTCCAGTTAAAACAATAATTCCCAATCTTTACTACCAATTTTCACACTGATTGCTCTGTTTTCTTGGCATCATTTCTAAAAGAGATAACCCATGAAAGCACAATTTTGTAGCAATGGTTATATAGTGCATCCAATATAGGTACTTTTCCCTTACATTTCTTGAATCGACTCAATACTTAACTATGTTAGAAAGACATTTTAATCAAATTGTTGCCAAAAAGCATTCTCTTGTGTGGGCTTTTCATGAATACACTATTTAAAATATCAATTATTTACTGTACTTTCCATTACCTTGCTGTATTTTTCTTCATAGTACTTTAATTATTTGAAATTATATTTCTTTTCCAGTCATCTGTTTATTGTCACTCTTCCCCTCTAAAATTCAAGTTGCATCTGCTTTATCTTATTCACCACTGCATACCCTAGTAGCTAGCATACTGGCTAGCACTATAAGTGACTAAATGAATCTTTATTATTAAAATATAGCAAAAAATCTGGTTACAAATATTGAAGTTATTTTGTTTAAAAAAGATATGAAACTGATTAATCATTAATTTGAGTATAAATGAAAAATCACAACAAATACACTGTCATACTACACTGTCTTTCTGTTAATAACTCCTATTATTCCCTTAGTGGGAACTGGCAAAGAGTGGGAATTGTGTTGGTCTCCATCTGTTTTCTTTTTTTCTCCTTGGTCATACGTTCCTCATTAAAATGTCTCTTTCCCCATGTGTCAATCCAAATTCCCATCATCTTGCTGATATTTTCAATCTTGCATTTTATTATTGGCCAATATATTTAAAGCACACGGATATCCTGATTTATAAGAAGTTTGTTGATTTTTTCCTTGTTTCACACATCTGTCACTCTAAAAATATGGAAAAAGTGACTCTCATGATGTGTATTTTCCTGATACTTTGTGCAAACATATATATGTTTGCATAACATATGATACATATGAACATATATAAACTTACCCAAAGCTGCTTCCAACAACATTCCCACCACATCGATATTAAGAGTATGTGTTTGGCTGAAACCCCGTCTCTACTAAAAATACAAAAAATTAGCCCGGCGTGGTGGCGGGCGCCTGTAGTCCCAGCAACTTGGGAGGCTGAGGCAGGAGAATGGCGTGAACCTGGGAGGTGGAGCTTGCAGTGAGCCAAGATCGCGCCACTGCACTCCAACCTGGGAGACAGAGTGAGACTCCGTCTCAAAAAAAAAAAAAAAAAAAAAAAAGAGTATGTGTTTGGAGCCAGATTAGCACTTACCAATTGATAAACACATATTCTCTCTGCACGTTATTTTCCTCTTCACTAAAAGGATGATGAAGGCTCCCACCTCACAGAGAGGTGAGATCCTCAGTTGTCTTGAGGGTAAAGTCAGTTAATGAAAATAAAATTTGTATAATGCTGATAGACATGCAGTAAAATGTTAATGCTGGGGGACAACTCAACAAAGATCTCTTGTTTCTACACATCTGTGAGCAGAAACACAGTTTTCTTCCAGACTGCTGTTTCTCAAGAATATTTGTAGAGTGAACAGGCTTGGAAGATATATTCTCCCTCCTGAAAAAGGGGCAGATTTCTTTACTGTCTATAAAATAAAGACAATGTCTCCATGTAGAGCAAAGCTTTAGCAGGCTTGCTGGAAGCTCATTATAAAGATTGGGTTCCCTTAGATTGGGGTTGTTGAGTTGCAATGCAAATACACTGTGAATGCAGATATAATCTGGCCCTTTCTGTTTTCTCGTGGGAATTGGGGCTTGGAGAATAGGTGCAAGGAAATATTGGTATTCTGGGTACTACGAATGCTGTGAGTAGTAAACTCTTTTCTGTATCTGACCCATAAGTACCGTGCCTTCCAGCACTCATGAAAATAATGAAAATATGGCAATATACCTTTTAAGCTGGCAAGTAAGTCTCTTCATAGTCCTTGATAGCAATATTATTAATATTATGTTTTTTCCTAGGTTGTATATAATTTCTAACTTTGAGCAAGAAAATTGATTTTGAGATGACAACCTGGATAGTTTATCCATTCATCATAAAACATCTCCCTTTCACTTTTTAAATCCCTGCACCCCTGCTACCACTCACTAAAAAAAATAGCCCTGGTTGGAGAACCTACTCCTAAAAGCAGTTACATCCTAGCTTCTGTTGTTTCCCAATTTCCTACAAGCTACATATCAAACACCTTACTTACAGTCTATTTTCTAACCCTGTAAATTGAATTACTTTCAATTTATCAGGAATTTGTAGTCTTCTAGGAGACTTTTTTCTTTCTTTTTTTTTTTCACTTTATAATCTCTGTTGCTTTAAATTTCTGCTTTACAATCTTTCATTCTCAAACCAGGTGGTTCTTTACTCAAAATACTTTACCTTCAGGTGTTTGAAATATTCAGCAAAGCAAAATATAGCTAAGGGCTGCACGTTTCTGTTCACTACCTGAGTGATGGTGCATGAACAAAGTCAGCAATGTTAATATTCCAGGATGTCTTATAATGTAACTTTTGTTTCTCCATTTGATTTTACTCAGTTCCTGATTTCTAGTGAAAAAATATCAAAACATTTTGCAAAAATGTTTCAAATTTAAGCGATTCAGTAATTTTCTTATCAGTATGTTACCCTTCACAACAGCATTTATAAGACTATCTCTTATGGTGTTTCTAGTACAATAAACCATAATAAGGATTACCACATCCTATGGCTTCAGCAGCAGTTTATTGAGCTGTTTAGTAAACATAACTCAGCATGTTTAAGGTTTTTGACGTTACTAAAACCAGTGTTTTAAAATCACTAGTTAATTTTAAGTTATGTATTAATATTATGCTAATGATAGAAATTAATGTAAAATTATAACAGCCCATTTTGTTACTCTTATTATTACTATTGCATTTATTTTTGTTGGGTTTGAATTTAAAAACAAATTTAGGATCAGAATCATATCATTTGTAAAGACAGGGTTGCCCCAGTATTACTTAGTGTTGATCTGAGAACAAAAGTGAAAGACTTCACAAATTTGTGTATCTCCCCACTAACATCACTGACATTTTACACAAATAGAAATCCCATATCTTATAAAAACACAAGCAAAACACACATGTACACATACACACATACACACCACAAACACCATGACAACTGACTTAGAAGTAACAAAAAAGAAGAAATATGTCCGAAGATTTAGAGAGTATATAATGTTCAATTCTGTTTCATGGACAAAATATATAATACCCGGCATATTATTATAGAAACCAGGGCAATCTGATAAGCTTTCTAGGGTAGTTATTCAGCCAAATGGGTCCTTTGGGGAATTCAGAGGTGATTATTGCTGCCAAAGCTTCTTCACTTAAGAGTTAATTGCTCAAGGTCTTTAGTTCTCACTTGGTTTTATTGCAATATATAACATACTATCCAGGAGCCTATATTCTACATCCCAGGTTTATAAACCTACAACTGGGGTTAGGATGCTGTTCTCCCTCATTAGAATTGGAGGACTCTCCATCATTCCTCTTCATTCTCTGGGTCCACTGCCTTTACAAACATTTTTGGTTAGCAATGCAGATATTTGTAAACGTATTTTCAGACAATTAAACTTAACATTTTGAGCTAACATTCTTCTCTAAAATGCTCTCATAGATTTTACATAAGTAATTAGAAAAAATACACATACATACACACAAATGCAAAATCTACATATATGTGTTAGTAGATATAGTAACCAACACAAATAACTGTTTCACTTTATAATTCTCACATAAAACAATTTAGCATCACAAACAATAATTTTTCAGAGTTTTGGAATGAGAGATGAATTTATTAGAGAGTATTTTGGGTAGAAAATACATGGAGATTCGGAGGACATCCAAAACGTAAGGATTTTTCCCTTCAGTTCCCTTTACCCTGTCACTTCTCTCTACCAAACTGAAAATATATATCAATAATTATTTATAAAACCAGAATTTTTCATTTAAATGATCTACTTTAATATTCATAACAACCTTATGAATTATGTAATTCTTACACATGAGGAAGTTAAGTCTCAATGAGCTGTTACAATTTAAACAATGATTTTGAGGCAGAAGCAGGATTCCATTAGTCTATTGTATCTCACTTTAGAAGGCATATCAATGGTCAAATATTGGGAAATATTATTATTACAATATATTACATGCAGTGTTTCCTAGAAAGAACTTTTATTTTTTCTTTCTAAACTAATAACAAAAGGTGAAGTCATGTTACAGAGGGTGAGAATGGAAAAAGCAGAAATAAGGTTTCAAAGATTTTGGATATCTTCAATTTAAATGATTTTTAAAAATATGTCAGTATTTCCTGTCATTTAAAAATTTTATTTCATATTTGGATAAGTGTTGGCTCTGGATTTAAATACCCTAAGCATCTGCCATAGCTTCTCCCATACTACCTGTGTGACCTGAGACTAGTTACTTAAAATCCTTTAATCTGACTGGCTTCATATTTGTAACATGGAACTAAGAGTTGTTCTGTCTTCATTGAATCGTGCAGAGAATTAAATGAGATGATGTGTGTGCATTGTTGGCACAGTGTTCTTCACAAAGTAAATACTCAATACATCCTTCCTACTGATATTTTTCTACATTTTATTCATCCATATTTTTCTATTATTTTATTCTTCCATCATTATTATTATGAATGCAAGTGAAAGATTATTTCAATCAGCATTCTGTGACAGGTATATACTTTGCTTTAACTAGACTTCGGCCAGTCTCGCCCTTTCTGGGGTTTAGAATTCAGACTTCTAGACTGAATTCTCTCTTGTGGTTCTTGAATGCTTTTATCTTCTAGTGTGAGGAATCATGTGTGAGTCCTAGTATCTAAATCTATAACTCAGTAACATCAGTAAATTTTTATGAGTGAGTAACAGTTTAGTAGTGCATATGGTAAAAAAAATTGCCTTATACTCTTCTTGTTTTATTTATCTTCTTAAGGATACTTTTTCATTCCATTTAAAATACATGCTAATTATAGAAAAATTGCAAAATTACCTGTAGAAGTATAAGATAAAAGAAACAACCTGTATTCAAACTACTCAGAGATAAAGATTATTAGCATTAGGTTTTAATTTCTTCTAGGCTTCTTGCTTTACATTGTATATAATTCTGTATTCTAAGAAGTATAAAGTACATGCTTATTGCTTTCTTTTTAAAATTTACCTAGCATTTACTTAAATTCAAAGTCCTAAGTGCTTAAATATACATTACAAACACTGAGTCCTAACCTATTACTTTAACAATTTTTATTATGGGACATAATAAAAGTGCATAAAACATATGCACAGCTTAAACAAAAATTATAAATATAACATTCATTTAATAACTACTACCCAAGTAAAAAAGTAGAATATGGTTCACATCCCAGAAACTTCACTAAATACCTTTCCCTCATCAAATTCTTCTCACTTCTCTTCTCCCAGAGATACCATTATCTTGACTTTTGTGCTAGCAACTTCCTTGCTTTTCCCTCATATTTTTATTTCCTTATGGATGTACAATAAGTCCAGTGCCAAGAATAGTGAATAATCAGAGATTTTACCTTATTTGTAATCTAAGTTAGAATGCCATAATTTCATGGATGCTAACACAAAACACAAGACTTCTGAGTCAGAGACAAAGGATAATTTATTAATCACAGCAATAACAATAGCCAGAGAATTAACATTGGTACAAGTTTCCTAAGTTCCTTTTTCCACAGGGGCACTCAAAGAGGGCCGGATGACATCCACACCTTCAGTGAGGTGCATTACAGGAGAGGAACACTGGGTTTAAATAATCTAAATTTGCTGTAATGGGCAGCAAGTATGCCTGATTTTTGTCCCAGAAGACATTATCATGAATATATGGGAAATCAAACAAACCTGCCTTTTGTTAGGTGGTGGTGGCAGAATGGAGACAGTATCTCTAGCTTTCATGTCTATTTGCTATGCAAAAATTCTTGAAAAGGTATTCCAAAACAAAGGAAGTCAGTGCCTCTGTTTAAAAGTCATGAAGAAAAACATGAAAAACCTGTAGTCAGTAGTCATCTAACACGACAGCACCCTTGTTGAAAAGTCAGGTCTTTTCCTGATTATGTGGAAGTGTGTGTCCCTGGAATACATCAAGCATCCTTATATGTCTGCATAACTTTCTGAAGAGCATTTTTTCTATTGGTTTATCTAACTCAAAGTATTACATGTTATCTTAACTCTTATATCTTTTTAATAAAAATTCTCTAACTCAAAGCATTACCACATATGTTAATTACTATATTTTAAGTCTTCATATATGTTCTGGCAAATCCACACTTCTTGTTACTCTACTAGAATTTCTTGGCTACTATTAACTTTAAACTTCTACAAATTTCCTCCTGAAAGTCTTGCACATTAATTGCCTGAATTATTAATAAGTGTATCTTATTGTGCTACTACTGTAAATAGTACATTTTCATTTAATTTTTGGTTTATGTCTACTTGATAGGGATAAAATTTATATATATAATATATGTTTTATATTAAATGTTCTTTTATTCCAGCAACCTTATTCCTCAATTCTTATTAGTGCTACCATTTATCCTTAAATACTTTTATATTACAATAATTTTTAAATTGTGTTGTTATTCAGTTATAGTAATTTTAATTTTGCTCATTTCTTGCTTCACTGCTCTGGCTAGAAGTCTGAGTTATGTGAAATAAAATTTATAGTAGACAGTGTTCTTTTTTTTTCTTTATTTCAGCAGAAATTATGTCAACATTTGATAATTAGGTGTATTATTTACTATAGATTTTCTGAAATCATTATAAGATTAATAAACTATCTCCTATTTGTTAGCCTGATAAATCTTTTTAAAAATTATAAGTAGATTTTGGATTTTATAAAATGCTTTGGAATTATTATAAATGAGTATAAAATTTTAACTCTAGTCAGTATGGTGAATTAATTGAGTGATTCAAGTTGAAGGAATATTGCATTCCTGATGTGAAAAAAATGTGGTCATAAGATTTATTTTTTACATTTTTGGGGTTTAAATTTCCAATATTTTGAGTAGTATCTTTTTATTTGTACAAATTTTGGGAGCTCATGTGTGATTTTGTTACATGCATAGATTGCACAGTGGTCAAGTGAGTGCTTTCAGTTTTCTATCACCCATTTAATGTACATTTTACCCATTAACTAATTTCTCATCATCCACCTATCTATGACCTCTTCATCCTTCTGAGTCTCCATTGTCTATGACTCCTCCTTTTATATCCATGTGTACACATTTTTAGCACCGACTTAAGAGTGAAAACAATTTTCTGTGACTGGCTTGTTCCACAAGATTTTTTGTCTTTAATTTTGTTTGCATGACATATTACATTTATTAATTTAATTGTGTATGTTGAACCATTCTTGCATCCCTCATATAAAACTCATTTGATCATGGTATATTGTCTTTTTTATTTTTTGTGTAGGCAACTCTTAAAAAAAACTTTTATTTTAGGTTCAGAGGTACATGTGCATGTTTGTTATGTGGGTAAACTTGTGTCATGAGGGTTTGTCCATACAATCAAACATAAAACAATCCTCAGCAAATGCAAAAGAACTGAAATCATATTAAACACATTCTTAGACCACAGCACCATAAATATGGAAATGAAGATTTTAAAAATCACTGAAAACCATGCTATTTTATGGAAATTAAACAATATGCTCCTGAATCACTTTTCGGTAAGTAGTAAAATTAATCCAGAAATCAAGAAGTTCTTTGAAACTAATAAGAACGAAGATACAACATACTAGAATCACTGGGATACAACAAAGGCAGCATTAAGAGGAAAATTTATGGCAGTAAAAACCCACATCAGAAAGTTAGAAAGATCTCAAATTAACAAGCTAACATCACAACCAAAAAGTTCGAGAAGCAAAAAGAAATCAACCCCAAAGTTAGCAGAAAGGAAATAAACAAAATCAGAGCTGAACTGAAGGAAATTAAGACATGAAAACCATTCAAAACATCAACAAATCCAGGAATTTGTTTTCTGAAAAAATTAACAAGATAGGCCACTAGCTAGACAAATAAAGATGAAAAGAGAGAAGATTCGAATAAACACAATTAGAAATGACAAAAGGGATATAACCACTGACCACAAAAATAAAAACAACCATCAGAAACTACCACAAACACCTCTGTGCACAAAAACTAAAAAAAAAAAAACAAAAACAAAAACAACTAGAAGACCCAGATAAATTTCTGGAAAAATACACCCTCACAAGACTGAACTAGGAAGAAATTGATTCTGGGACCAGACCGGCAAGGAGCTCCATCAGTAATAAATAGTAATAAAAGCCCAGGACCAGACAAAAACACAGTGGAATTCTACCAAATGTACACAGAAGAGCTGGCGCCATTCCTACTGAAACTATTCTGAAAAGTAAGGAGGAGGGCCTCCTTCCCAACTTACTCTATGAGGCCAGCATCATCCTGATACCAATGTGGCAGAGATACATCAAAAAAACAAAACAAAACAAAACAAAAAAAACCAGGAAACTTCAGACCAATATCCTTGACGAACCTTGATGCAAAAATCCTCAACAAAATATTGGCAAATGAAACCCAGCAGCACATCAAAAAGCTAATCCATCATGATAAGTAGTCTTCATCCCCAGGGTGCAAGTTTGGTTCAACATAAACAACACAATAAATGTGATTTATCACATAAACAGAACCAAATACAAAACCACATGATTCTGTCAATAGACACAGAAAAGGCTTTCAATAAAATTCAACATCCCTTCATGTTAAAAACACTCAATAAAGTATGTATTGAAGGAACATAACTCAAAATAATAAGAACCATCTATAACAAACCCACAGCCAACATCATACCGAATGGGCAAAAGCTAGAAGCAATCTTCTTAAAAACCAGCACAAGACAAGGATGCCCTCTCTCACCACTCCTACTCAACATAGTATTGGAAGTCGTGGCCAGAGCTATCAGGCAAGAGTAAAAAATAATGGAAATCAAAATAGGAAGAGAGAAAGCCAAATTATCCCTCTTTGTAGATGACATAATTCTATATCTAGAAAACTCCATAGTATCGGCCCAAAAGCTTTTTCAGCTGATAAACAACTTCCAGCAAAGTTTCAGGACACATCAATGTACAAAAATCACTAGCATTCCTATACACCAACAGCCAAGCTGAGAGCCAAATCAGGAATGCAATCCCATTCATAATTGCTGCCAAAAGAATAAAATGTCTAGGAATACAGCTAACAAGGGAGGTGAAAGATCTCTACGGTGAGAATTGCAAAACACTGCTGAAAGAAATCAGAGATTACACAAACAAATGGAAAAACATTCCATGCTCATGGATAAGAATAAATATTAAAATGGCCATATTGTCCAAAGTAATTCACAGATTCAATGCTATTCCTATCAAACTACCAATGATATTCTTCACCGATCTAGAGAAAAACATTTTAAAATTCATATGAAACCAAAAAAGAGCCCCAATAGCCCAAGCAGTCTTAAATAGAAAAAAGCTTAAGATATCATGTTACCCAATTTAAAACTATATTATCTTTTTAATGTGCTGTTAAATTTGGTTTGCTAGTATTTTGTTGAGGATTTTTGCATATATGTTAATCAGGTTTATTAGTCTGTAGTCTTCTTTTTTGATGTGTCCTTCACTGATTTTGGTATCAGAATGATACTGGCCTCACAGAATTAGTTAGGGAGAATGTCCTCTTCTTTGGTTTTTTTAGAACTGTTTCAGGAGGATTGGTATTCATTCTTCCTTGTACACTGAAATAATTTGGCTGTGAATACATAAGTTCTTGGTCTTTTCTTTGTTGGGAGATTTTTTTTTTAATTGCAGGTTCAATCTTTTGAGTCATTATTCATCTGCTCATGTTTTCCATTTCTTTCTGGTTCAACCTTGGTTGGTGGTATGTTTCCAGGGATTTATCCATCTTTTGTAGGTTTTCAAGTTTGTGGGTGTACAGTTGTGCACAATAGTTTTTTTGTTTTTATTTCTGTGGCATCCATTGTAATGCCTACTTTTTTTATTTTTGGTTTTTAGGTGGGTCTTCCTTCTTTTCTTGGTTAGACTAGCTAACAGCTTATTATTTTTTTTTATATTTCTGAGGAGCCAATATTTCATTTCATTAACCCTTTGCATTCTCTATTTCATATAGTTCTCCTCTCTGATTTCTGTTCTTTTCTTCTGCAAATTTTGTTTGATTTGTTCTTGCTTTTCTAGTTCCTTGTAATGAAGTGCATCATTACATTGTTAATTTGTAATCTTTCTACTTTTTTGATGTAGGCATTTAACACTATAAACTTCTCACTTAGTATTGCTTTTGTTATATCCTACAGTTTTGATGTATTGTTTCCATTTTCATTTATTTTCAAAATTTTATTTCCATCTTAATTTCTTTGTTGACTCAATGCTCATTCAGGAGCATGTTATTTTATTTCCATGTACTTGCATATTTTCCAGTTTCTTCTGGTATTAATTTCCAGTTTTATTCCACTGTGGTCTGAGAAGATATTTGACATGATTTTGTTATTTTTTTTAGTCTATTGAGACGTGTTTTGTGTCCTAACATATGGTCCATCTTGTAGAATGTTCCATGTGCTGAAGACAAGGTATATAATGTTCTGCAAATATATCTTAGGTCCATTTGGTCTAAAGTCCAATTTAAGTTCAATTTTTTTGGTTGATTTTCTGTCTATATAATCTGTCTAATGCTGTAAGTAGGGTGTTAAATTCCCCTTTGTCTATCTCACTCTTTAGTAATATTTATAAATCTGAGTCCCACAATCTTGGATGCATATATATTTAGAATCATTAATATCCTCTTATTGAATTTATCCTTTTATCATTATATAATGGCTTTTTTGGTCTTTTTTCACTTTTTTTGAGTTAAAGTTTGTATTATCTGATAGAAGTACAGCTACTCCTACTCACTTTTGGTTTCTGTGTGTATCAAATATCTTTTTCCACCCCTTTTTCTTAAATTTCTCTTTCTATATTTTACAAGTAAGGTGAGTTTCTTAAATGCAGCATATAGTTGGATTATGTTTTGTAATCCATCCAGGCAGTCTATATCTTTTAAGTAGGGCATTTAATCAATTGACATTCAGGATTAGCATTTATATGTGAGATTTTGCTTCTGTCATATTGTTAACTGTTTTCCAGCTGTTTTATAAAATCTTTGTTTCTTTTTCTGTATTTGTCATTGTGGTTTGGTAAAATTTGATAGTGGTGCCATTTGATTCCTTTCACTTCCTCCTTTGTGTGATTGCTTTACCAAATAGTTTTATACTTTCATATTTTCTCATAATAGTAAATTTTTCCTTTTGTGTACAAGTTTAAGACTCCACTGAGGCCAGGCTCGGTGGCTCATGCCTGTAATTCCACCACTTTGGGAGGCCAAGGCAGGTGGGTCACTTGCAGTCAGGAGTTTGAGACCAGCCTGGCCAACATGGTGAAACCCCATCTCTACTAAAAATACAAAAATTAGCTGGGCGTGATGGCAGGCACCTGTAATCCCAGATACTTGGGACGCTGAGGGAGGAGAATCGCTTGAACCCAGGAGACGGAGATTGCAGTGAGCCGAGATCGTGCCATTGCACTCCAGCCTGGGCGACAAGAGTGAAACTCTGTCTCAAAAAATAATAAATAAATAAATAAATAAAAAGACTCCATAGAGAACTTCTTTTATGGTGACAATTTTTTTCAGTAATTTCTTGTCTAGGAAAGACATTATTTCATTTGTGAAGCTTAATCTTACCAGATATAAAATTATTGGCTGGCATTTTTTTTTTCCTTTTCAGTGCTTTGAATATATCATCACATTCTCTTCTTGTCTTCAAGTTCTGCTGAGAGTTCCACTGTTAGTCAGATAGGACTTTCTTTTCAAGTGACTGAACATGTTTCTGTTTTTTAAATTTGCTCTTTAGAAAGTCTAATTACAATGGGTCTTAGCACAGTCCTATTTGTATTTTATTTTCATGGCATCACTTAGCCTCCTCTATCTGGATGTCTAAATCTTTTGCTAGACTTAAAAAGGTTTTCATCTATTAGCTTGTTAAATAGGTTTGCTAAAGTTTTTTATTTCTTTGCCCTTGGAGATACTGATAATTCATACATTTAGTTGCATTATGTTGTCCCAAATGTCTCAAATGCTTTGTACATTTTCATTCTTTGTTATTTATTTTTGTCTAACTTTATTATTTCAGAGGTCTGTATTCAAATTGTGTAATTCTTTATTCTGTGGTGCATTATTCAACCTTTCCAATATATTTTGTGTTTCCCACAATGAATTATTAAGTTCCATAATTCTCTGTGTATTTTTAAATCTATCTCTTTAGTGAATTTCTCATTCATACATTGAATCATTTTTGTAATTTCTTTGAACTGGTTTTAGATTCCACACATTTCTCATTGAGCTTATTTAAAATCAATATTTTGAATTATTTATCTGGAATTTTGAGAAGATCCTTTTGGTTAAGATCTGTTCCTGGAGAATTATTGTGCTCTTTGAGGGTGTCATATCATCTTATTTTTTCACATTTCCTGTGTCTTTACTTTTCTGTACGTCTGGTATTTAGTCAAAACTACATTCAAAACTTCTTCCTAGTTTTAAATTTAGTTTTGTTTTCGGGGGGCACTTTTGCATTGTTTCTTGAAGATATGACTATCATGTTATGACTACGAAGCCCTGTTGGCTTTGCTTCTGTGAATGCAGTAATGGAGTCTCTGTATGACTTTTTTAAAAGCTATATACAGCATGATATCTGTGGTTTCCTCAGTGTGTTAGGGTGTGGTTACTGGTAGAGGCTCTGGTGAAGCTGTGCTGAGGACTGAAATGCCAGATGGATCTGTCTTCAGGTTTTAGTAGTAGCAGCATGTGTATTATTGTGCCCTGGGCCAGTGTACACTGGCACGTGTGTTGCTGGTTCCAGGCAAGCCAATTATTGGGTCTTTGGGTAGCTTTCTTGGATGTTGTTTGTAGTAGTGTGTACCAGGTTGGTGAGAAAGCTCCCAAGCCTTTGGGCAGCAAATGTGGCATGGTGATGGCAGTAGAAGGATGAGAGGCTTTTCTGGTTCCTAAGTACTATGCACTTGTATTGGCAGTGGTTGCAATGAGCTGTGTAGGCTAACTTACAGACCAGCAGGTGGCATTTGCAGGTAGTAGGCACTGAGGAGGTAATGGTAGGGTGCTAATTCCCAAGCTCAGGCCTTTGGGAGGAGTGTTTGTGTGAACCAGGTAACAGACTGGGTTGTACGCCCCTCAGGACCCTGGATCCTGCATTGTGTCTTGGGGTATGAGGTGAATCTGCTTACAGCCTACTGGGCAATCCTGCACCCAGGTCCCCCAATGGCAAGTGCAGGCACCAGCCATGAGGGGTGGGGGTGGGAAATGCTCAGGCTCCTAGCAGAATTATTGGGTGACTGGCAACAACCACTGTGCTGAGATCTTGCCATTGGGAGGGTAGGATTGGCCCAAAGGGCCACAGGATTGGCCAGTGTAGGGGCCTTGCATCCTTCTCATGCCCTTGTCCTGGAGGGTCTCACTCCCCAGTCTGACTTCCACAGGTGATCCAGCTCTTCCGTGAGACCCAGCAGCTTATGCCCACAACTCAGCCCCAGACAATAGGACCTCTTGCCAAGCTCAAGACCAAGCCTCCATGGCAACTCTCATCCCATTCAAGTCACAGGTGCACTACCTGCTTTCAGGGCCAGTAGCTACAGTCCACACCATGTTCACTTCTCAGTCCTGGTTGAAGGATCACACCCCACACCCATGGCTCAGTTCTGCAAGCAGCAGCCTGAGTTTTCCCAATGCTTAGGGCTTGTGCTGTTGGCTTCCAGGACCATAGTCTATTAAAAGCTAGGATGAAGAATGGCATCTTGCTGTAGCAACTTAGGTTTCAGAAAAGGCATGGGATCCATGGCATCTTCCTTCTCTGGAGCAGTTCCTACTCATAGTCTCTTGGCCACTTCCTAAATTAGATTCAGGATTTGGGAGGTCAAGGTTCTCTCTGGTAGCCTGGATTGTATAATTCCCTATTGGAAAAGTGGACTGCAGAGAAACTCTGACTCACCTTCTCCCACATTGGGGAGCCACTTTTAGTTCCCAGCCAGTACTGGCCAGGCAAGTCTATGGTTTTCTTTCTCCTTCCTACCTTTTCACCTTTCTTGTCTATTTTCTGTTGAACTATGTCCCCTCTTGGATAATGCATTCAAAGTATGATTGTGCACACACTATATTGGTTCTTCTAAGTAGATGGGGTGTGTCTGAAATGCTTCTAGTCAGCTATCTTGAAAAAAAAAACTTGAGTAGTATTTTTTATTATATATTAATTAGTGTGAATGGGCTTTGTTTTCCTTTCAAATTATTTTTTTGAATTTTGTAGCAAAGTTACAGTAAGCTAATAACATTAACTGGAGTATTGTTTCTTTCTATCTGAAAAAGTTTCCATGAATTTTAAAATATCTATTCCCTTAATTATTGGTAGAATGAATCAAAGATGAAGTCTAATTCTGGAATTTTATTTATGTACTTTTAAAACATTACTTCAATGTCTTTTATTATTAGGATAACTCAAGTTTCTGTTTCTTTTTGTTTCAGTCTGGTAACTTTTTGTTTATTTGTTTAGTTGTTTATGGATTAACTTGGTGTCTAAGAAGAGAGTCTCAATGTAAATTCCCTTGTTTAAATCTGAGTTTTGCCATTTATTAGTTGTATGATATTGGTCAACATATTTAACTGTTCTATGATCAGTAAATCTAAAATATATTCTCTCTTACATTGCTGGTAGGAATGTATACTGTACAAAACACTTAATCAAACTCTCTTTATAGCTTGCTAAAACTCAACTAAAATTACACACATGTATATATATGCTATTTTATCTCTCTCTCTCTCTCTCTCTCTATATATATATATATATATGCTTTACTTAATGATAGGGATTGATTCTGAGGAATGTGTCATTAGGAAATTTATCCTTGTGTGAACATCATAGAATGTACTTACACAAACCTAGATAGTGCAGCCTACTACATATCCAGGCTATATGGTATAATCAATTGCTCCTAGGCTACAACCTCATACAGCATGATACTCTACTAAATACTGTAGGTAACTAACACAATGGTAAATAATTTTGTATGTAAGTATACAAAAGGTAATGCTACATCACTAGGCCATGGAATTTCTTAGATCCACTGCAAGCTTATGTGGCCACCTGTGCATATGTGGTCTACTGTTGATGAAAATGTTCTTATGTGGTGCACAGTCAGAACGTGTATATGTATATATATATTCAGAAGAATGTTCATAAGAGTTTTATTTATGATTGAATAATAGTTAAATCATTCTAAGTATAACTACTATTGAAGTAAGTTAAAAAGTGCAGAATATTTATAAAATAGAACAGTAAAGAGCAAAAGAAAACAACACATTAGTAATAAATACAGAATGGATGCATCTGTATGCATCCAATAAATATGAATCCATCCAATAAATATGAATGGATCATAGTGAGAAGTTAGATACAAAAGTAAAAATCATTACTTTATTTATCTTATTTCCAAACAACCCAAATTAACTTCTGATGATAGTTGTCAGACTAGTGATTACCCTTTAAAGGAGATACTGACTGGAAAGGGACACAAGAAAACATTCTGGAATGTTAAAAGCATTCTAATTTCTTTTTTTTTTTTTTTGAGACGGAGTCTCGCTCTGTCGCCCAGGCTGGAGGGCATTGGCACTATCTTGACTCACTGCAAGCTCCGCCTCCCGGGTTCACACCATTCTCCTGCCTCAGCAGCATTCTAAATTTTAATCTGCACAGTGTTTATGTGAGTACTGACATAAGTAAAAAAAACAAATTAGCTGTACACATTAAATTTGTGAACTTGCCATTTGTAAAATGTACCTCAAAAATAGATAATTGACAGGAGGTAGATGATTAGATAAAGTCTATAGAAATTGTATTTTGAAAACAAAATACTTTAATCAATAAAATTACAACATCCCTAATCTATCCTCTCTCCTGCCCTGTCCAATACATAGCCACTCGCCATGTGTGGCTATTTAATTAGTTAAAAATTATAGAAAAATAAAAATTTAGATCTTCAGTTGCTATAGCCACATTTTAAGTGTTCAATAACCACATGGATGTGGACAGCATTTTTGGCAACACAGTTTATAGTATGTTTTTATTATTAGAGAGAGCTCTATATAAATATTTGCCCTCAGCCTTTGCAATCATTGATATTCCGAAGAAAGCAAAATACATGAATATTTAGTAAAAGATATATTAAAATATAATAATGAATACTAACTTCCTTTTTTCAAAAAAAAAAAATTGACACAGGTTCTCACTCTGTTGCCCAGGCTGGAGTGCAGTGGTGTGATCATGGCTCGCTGCAGCCTTGAACTCCTAGGCTCAAGCAATCCTCCTGTCTCAGCCTCCTAAGTAGTTGGAACCACAGATGAAGGCCAACACCCCCAGCTAATTTTTGTACTTTTTGTAGAGACAGGGTTTCGCAGTGTTGCCCAGACTGGTCTCAAATTCTTAGGCTCAAGTGTTCCACCTGCCTCGGACTCCCAAAGTGCTGGGAATACAGGCCTGAGCCACCATGCCCAGCCAAATACTAATTTCTTAATACTAGTATGCTGTATTCACAAAAATAATCTTTAGTATTGTTTTTATAAAACTATGTCATTTTATTCTGTTTTCTTGAGGAGTATTTATTTGCTCATGTCACTTGTGATGGTTAATACTGTCAACTTGATTGAAGGATGCAAAGTATTGATCTTGGGTGTGTCTGTGATGGTGTTGCCAAAGGAGATTAACATTTGAGTCAGTGGACTGGGGAAGGCAGACCCACCGTTAATTGGGTGAGCACCATCTAATCAGCTGCCAGCAAATATAAAGCAGGCAGAAAAACATGAAAAGGCGAGACTGACCTAGCCTACATCTCAGCCTACATCTTTCTTCTGTACTGGATGCTTTCTGCCCTGGAACATCGGACTCCACGTTCTTCAGTTTTCAGACTCGGACTGGTTCCCCTTGCTCCTCAAGACAGCCTATTGTGGGACCTTGTGAACATGTAAGTTAATACTTAATAAACTCCCCTTTATACATATATATCTATCTATCCTATTAGTTCTGTCCCTCTAGAGAACCCTGCCTAATACAGATTTTGGCACCAGGAGTGGTTCTAGAGGAACAGAATATTAAGGATGGAGTTCTTTCACTGGTTTTGGGGTTGCTGGAGTTGGCTGCTTAATATGATTAGACCCCAAAATGCTAAGGACTCTACTTCTAATAGTATGGAGAACACTGATAGACCTTGGCATGAGCTATGAAAAATAAATACATTTGACACTCCTGATTCACCACTTCTGAGAGGCAAGAAGTTTAGTCACGCTATACATAATACCTTTAATCATACGTGGAGAACCAAGGAGCATAATGAAGCTGGTTCGTTGCTTCTAAATTCAGAGGACAAAGTGATGATGAACTCACTGGCTTCAAAAGCAGATACTGAGCCTCAAATCAGCTAAGATTACCCTGTGTGAGAGTCTTATCTCCTCTAGAGAAAGAGCTGAAATTGTGGAAAGACAGAAACACAAGCTCTTACCATGCGAGTGGCTGACCTACAACGAAAGGTGCATGCACAGCCTCGCCAGGTGTCTACTGTTAAACTGGGGGCATTGATTGGAAAAGAATGGGACCCTGCAACCCAGAATGGGAATGTGTGGGAGGACCCTGATGAAGCTGGGGACACTGAGTTTGTAAACTTTGATGAACTTTTTGGCCAGAAGGAACAGCTTCCCCATACCCAGTAGTGGCAACATCCCCTCCCTGACCCACACTGCCATAGCCTTTCCACTTTCATCTGAGGAGATAAACCCTGTGCTGCCTGAGGCAACAGAGATGGCCTCCCCTGAGGCGGTTGTCAGGCAAGAAAATGTTGATTCTCCCCATTAAGCCACCCCCAACACCCCTGTTTGCGTTTACACCTATGACTAGACTAAAGTCCTGGCGGGCCCCTGGAGGTGAGTTTGAAAGTGCGACCCATGAGGAGGTGTGCTACACTCAAAAAGAACTGTTTGAGTTCTCTATATAAAGAGCAATCTGGAGAAGAGGCATGGGAATGGATATTAAGGGTATGGGATAATGGTGGAAGGAACATAGAGTTCAATCAGGCTGAATTTATTGATTTGGGCCCACTAAGTAGGAAATCTGCATTTAAAGTTGAAGTTCAAGAGCTAAAAAAGGTTTTTAGTTTATTTGCTTGGTTAGCTGAAATATGTATGAAAAGATGGCCCACCCTGAGTGAGCTGGAAATGCCTGATCTCCCTTGGTTTAATGTAGAGGAAGGAATCCAAAGGCTTAGGGAGATTGGGATATTGGAGTGGATTAATCCCTTTAGACCTACTCATCCCAGCTGGGAGGGGTCCAGATTTACCCTTCACTAACGCCTTGTGAAATAGATGTGTAAGGGCAGCACCTGTATCTTTACAGAGCCCTGTAATTGCTCTAATCTGTATGTCGGATCTAACAGTGGGAACCACAGTCACTCGACCACAAAATTTAAATGCAATGGGAATAACTGAATCCCAAGGCGGCAGGGGCCAAGTGGTGGCACTGAACTGTCAAAGGCAAGGTGGGCATAGCTATCATAATTGACAGCAGAGACAAAGCAACAATCAGAATAGTCTGACTAGCGTAGAGCTCTGGCATTGGCTAATTAATCACGGTGTTACTAGAAGTGAAATTGACAAGAAGCCTACTGCATTCCTACTTAATTTATATAAAGAGAAAACTTCTAGGTCGAATGGACAAAAGACTAATTTGAATTATAAAAACAGAGAATCACAGCCTCTCAATCAATTTCCAGACTTGAACCAGTTTACAGACCCAGAACCGCTTGAATGAAGGGGAGACAGGGTACCCTTGAGGAAGGACCCCACTACATTACCGACAATTTATACAGTGAATCTTTCTCCCATCCTTTCCCAAGGATACCTCTGGCCTTTTATCAGGGTAACTGTGCACTGAGAAAGGCAAATGATCAGACATTTCAAGGACTACTGCACACTGGTTCTGAGCTGAGATTGATTCCAAGGGATCCAAAACATCATTGTGGTCTTCCAGTTAAAATAGTAGCTTGTGAAGGTCAGGTAATTAAGGGAGTTTTAGCTCAGGTCCAACTTACAGTGGGTCCAGTGGATCCCCAGATTCATCCTGTGGTCACTTCCCCAGTGCCAGAATACATAATTGGCATAGACATACTTAGCAGCTGGCAAAACCTCCACATTAGCTATCACTGGTAGGGTGAAGGCCATTACGGTGGGAAAAGCCAAATGGAAGCCATTAGAGCTGCCTCTACCTAGAAAAATAGTAAATAAAAAACAATATCACATCCCCAGAGGGATTGGGGAGATTAGTGCCACCATCAAGGACTTGAGGACACAGGGGTGGTGATTCCTACCATGTCCCCTTTCAAATCTCCTATGTGGCCTGTGCAGAAGACAGACAGATCCTGGATAATGAGAGTGGATTATCATAAGCTTAACTAGGTGGTGACTCCAATTTCAGCGCTGTACCAAATTTGGATTCACTGCTTGAGGAAATTAACACATTTCCTGGTACCTCATATGTAGTCATTGACTTGGCAAAGGCCTTTATCTCCATTCCTGTGCATAAGGTCCACCTGAAGCTATCTGCCTTTAGCTGGCAAGGCCAGCAATATAACTTTACTAGCCTACCTCAGAGGTATGTCAACTCTCTGGCTTTGTGTCATAATCTTATTCGGAGAGACCTTGATTGTTTTTCGCTTCCACAAGATATCACACTGGTCCATTACATTGAAGACATTATGCTGATTGGATCCAGTGAGCAAGAAGTAGCAAACACACTCGACTTATTGGTGAGACAATTACGTACCAGAAGATGGGAAATAAATCCGACTAAAATTCAGGGACCCTATACCTCAGTAAAATTTCTAGGGGTCCAGTGGTGTGAGGCTTGTTGAGATATTCCTTCTAAGGTGAAGGATAAGTTGCTGCATTTGCCCCCTCCTACAACCAAGGAAGGGACACAACAGCTAGTGGGCCTATTTGGATTTTGTAGGTAACACATTCCTCATTTGGGTGTGTTACTCTGTCCCGTTCATCAAGTGACCCAAAAGGCTGCCAGTTTTGAGTGGGCTCCAGAACAGAAGGCTCTGCAATAGGTCCAGGCTGCTGTGCAACCTGCTCTACCACTTGGGCCATATGACCTGGCAGATCCAATGGTGCTTGAGGTGTCAGGGCAGGTAGGGATGCTGTTTGGAGCCTTGGCAGGCCACTATAGGTGAATCACAGTGGAGGCCTCTAGGATTTAAGAGCAAGGTCCTGCCATCTTCTGCAGATAATTACTCTCCTTTTGAGATGGCTCTTGTCCTCTTACTGGGCTTTGGTAGAAACTGAATGTTTGACTATGGGTCATGAAGTCACCATGCAACCTGAATTATCTATCATGAACTGGGTGCTTTCTGACCCATCTAGCCATAAAGTGGGTCATGCACAGCAGCATTCCATCATCAAATGGAAGTGGTATATATGTGATCAGGCTTGAGCAGGTCCTGAAGGCACAAGTAAGTTACATGAGAAAGTGGCTCAAATGCCCATGGTCTCCATTCCTGCCACCCTGCCTTCTCTCCCCCAGTCTGCACTGATGGCCACATGGGGAGTTCCCTATAATCAGCTGACAGGGGAAGAGAAGACTAGGGCCTCGTTCATGATGGTTCTGCATGATATGCAGGCACCACCCGAAAGTGGACAGCTGCAGCACTATAGCACCTTTCTGGGACATCCCTGAAGAACAGCAGTGAAGGAAAATCTTCCCAGTGGGCAGAATTTCGAGCAGCGCACCTGGTTGTGCAGTTTACATGGAAGGAGAAATGGCCAGATGTGTGATTATATACTGATTTATGGGCTGGAGCCAATGGTTTGGCTGGATGGTCAGGAACTTGGAAGAAGCATGATTGGAAAATTGGTGACAAAGAAATCTGGGGAAGAGGTATGTGGATGGACTTCTCTGAGTGATCAAAAACCATGAAGATATTTGTATCCCGTGTGAGTACTCACCAATGGGTGACCTCAGCAGAGGAGGATTTTAATAATCAAGTGGATAGGATGACCCATTCTGTGGATACCACTCAGCCTGTTTCCCCAGCCACCCCTGTCATTGCCCAATGGGACCATGAACAAAGTGGCCATGGTGGCAGGGATGGAGGTTATGCATGGGCTCAGCAACATGGACTTCCACTTACCAAGGCTGACCTGGCTACAGCCACTGCTGAGTGCCCAATTTGCCAGCAGCAGAGACAACTGAGCCCTAGATATGGCACCATTCCTAAGGATGATTAGCCAGCTACCTGGTGGCAGGTTGATTATATTGGAACTCTTCCATTATGGAAAGGGCAGAGGTTTGTCCTAACTGGAATAGACACTTACTCCGGATATGGGTTTGCCTATCCTGCACACAATGCTTCTACCAAGACTACCATCCGTGGACTCACAGAGTGCCTTATCCATCGTCATGGTATTCCACACAGCATTGCCTCTGACCAAGGCACTCACTTTACAGCTAAAGAAGTGCGGCAGTGGGCTCATGCTCACGGAATTCACAGGTCTTACCATCTTTCCCATTATCTTGATGCTGCTGGATTGATAGAATGGTGGAATGGCCTTTTGGAGTCACAATTACAATGCCAACTAGGTGACATACTTTGCAGGGCTGGGACAAAGATCTCCAAAAGGCCACGTATGCTCTGAATCAGCGTCCAATATATGGTACAGTTTCTCCCATAGCCAGGATTCACAAGTCCAGCAATCAAGGTGTTGAAGTGGAAGTGGCACCCCTCACCATCACTCCAGTGATCGACTAGCAAATTTTTTGCTTCCTGTTCTCACGACATTATGTTCTGCTTGCCTAGAGGTCTTAGCTCCAGAAGGAGGAACACTGCCATCAGGAGACACAACAATGATTCCATTAAACTGGAGGTTAAGATTGCCACCTGGACATTTAGGGCTCCTCCTACTTTTAAGTCAACAGGCTAAGAAGAGAGCTACAGAGTTGGCTGGGGTGACTGACACAGACTATCAAGATGAAATTAGTCTATTACTCCATTACAGAGGTAAGAAAGAGTATGCATGGAATATAAGAGATCCATTAGGGCATGTCTTAGTATTACCATGCCTTGTGATTAAGGTCAATGGGAAACAAATGCCCAATCCAGGAAGGAATACAAATGGTCCAGACCTCTCAGGAATGATGGTTTGGGTCACTCCACCAGGAAAAACAAAACAAAACAAAACAAAACAAAAAAAAAAAAACATGACCTGCTGAAGTGCTTGCTGAAGGCAAAGGGGATAAAGAATGGGTAGTAAAAGAAGGTAGTTATGAATACCAGCTACAAGCACATGACCAGCCGCAGAAATGAGTACTATAACTGTCATGAGTATTTTCTCCTTCTTTTGTTAAAAACATGTTGGTGCATGCATATACTTATACTAAGAAAATATCTTCATTTTATTTCCTTTTTGTTTATCATGTGACATAAGATTTATTGACTTCATATTGGCATTTAAGTATTGTTAACTTTATGTGATAGTATTTGGGCTGAGGACTGGTGAGTTTCCAGTTGTATGAAGCATAGTCGTATTATGTTAGGCATAATTATGACCTTATGATTGTCTTTATTTGAAGATTATGTATGATCTCAGGAGATGTGTATGGGTTCAAATTGACAAGGGGTGGACTTGTGATGGTTAATACTGTCAACTTGATTGAAGGATGCAACATATTGATCCTGGGTATGTCTGTGAGGGTGCTGCCAAAGGAAATTAACATTTGAGTCAGTGAACTGAGGAAGGCAGACCCACGCTTAATTGGGTAGGCACCATCTAATCAGCTGCCAGTGAATATAAGGCAGGCAGAAAAATGTGAAAAGGTGAGACTGGCCTAGCCTCCCAGCCTACATCTTTCTCCCATGCTGGATGCTTCCTGCCCTCGAACATTGGACCCCAAGTTCATCAGTTTTGAGACTCGGATTGGCTCTCCTTGCTCCTGAAGCTTGCAGACAGCCTATTGTGGGACATTGTGATCATGTAAGTTAATACTTAATAAACATATATATATATATGAGGACATATATATATATATATACGAGGACATATATATATATATATGAGGACATATATATATGAGGACATATATATGAGGACATATATATGAGGACATATATATATGAGGACATATATATGAGGACATATATATGAGGATATATATATATGAGGACATATATATGAGGATATATATATATGAGGACATATATATATGAGGATATATATATATGAGGACATATATATATGAGGATATATATATGAGGATATATATATATATATATGGAGATATATATATATATATATATCCTCTTAGTTCTGTCCCTCTAGAGAACCTTGACTAATACATAACTGATACAGTCTCAGTTTTAACATATAACATCTTAAATGTAAATTCATATTTTACAACTTTTTAAAAACTTTCCTTAATATCGTTCAGGATAATTCTCTTACTTCTCTTTTCATATAATCCTGCTTTGTTTTGTTTACATACATCCCAGCATATTCTTTCTTTAGGAAACTCTGACTCTGTTTTTTATAAGCATTGATTACTACCACTTTTTTTTGAGGAATGCCTAGAGTATCCAAAAATCTTCTTCTCGAGAAGAAGATGTTATAGTTGTTTTTGTTTGTCTGCATGTATGTTGTTATTTTAAATTTATATGGTAGCTTTAGGACTACTAGTCAATCTCCTCAGAATTACAGAACAAGAGTTGATTTGCAAAGACAACTACCAATTCAATTCAACTTTATTTCCTGAGATTCCTACGATACCACTTCGATCTACAGAAGCATTTCAGTGCTTAATTTACTAAGTCCATACAATTTACAGAAACTACATTTCCCAGAAATAAGTTCTATAATAATCTTCTTTCTGTTCATATTACTTCAAACATCAAAGCTCTAATTTTGGAGACAATAAATGGAATATATTGTAAACAATTTATAATATTCTATTTATTTTTCTTTCATCCTTCCCCACTCCCAGAAATCACTTTCTTAGAATGGATATGGAAATTAGGATTGAGGTCGAAGAGAGGCAGAAATTCGGAAGATAAGTAGAGTATTTTTATAACTGTCATAAAATGAAACGTGTGTATTTTAACATTTTAGTCAGCCTTTATAAAATTAGGCAATAATACTTTGGATGGGAAAGGGTAACAATGTATAAGTCCTGTTAAACATCAAAAAGTATAACAAAACCATAATTAATAGAACCAGGTGACTGACACTGGCACAGTGTTAGAAATGGAAAAGTAGACCTTTCTTGTATAAAAATTAGTGCTTGATAAATAATAATTTACAGGTCAGAGAATAAAGAAAAAGCAATTTACTCTTGCATCAACTCATAAACCAAAATAATTTCTTCATAGATTTATATATTGACAGATCCAAAATCAAATTTGCATAAAGTATAACATAATTTTTTTTGTTTTGTTTTTGTTTTTTTTGAGACTGAGTCTCTCTCTGTCGCCCAGGCTGGAGTGCAGTGGCGCGATTTCGGCTCACTGCAAGCTCCCTCTCCCGGGTTCACGCCATTCTCCTGCCTCAGCCTCCTGAGTAGCTGGGACTACAGGCACCTGCCACCATGCCCGGTTAATTTTTTTTTTTGTATTTTTTAGTAGAGACGGGCTTTCACCGTGTTAGCCAGGATGGTCTCGATCTCCTGACCTTGTGATCCACCTGCCTCGGCCTCCCAAAGTGCTGGGATTACAGGCGTGAGCCACCGCGCCCGGCCATAAATTTTAATTCATAATTATTGCATGTACTGAAGACAGATAATCAAATGTGTTACTTTTATATTAAGTGTTCATTTACTGGAAGGGGTTTATGGTTAAAATGATGAATCTCTCAAAATTAAGCATAGGCTCAAAAAAAGCCCAATGAAACTCCCAATAAGCTATCTGGTAGATGTTGACAAACAGATTTTCAAGTTTATGTGGAAAAAAAAAGATGTGGAAGAATCAACACAATACTGACGAAAAGGAACAACACTGGAGGACTTACACTGTGATTTCATGACTTACTACAAAGTTAGAGTGCAGTACTGGTGAAAAAAAGGAAACAGACGTTGTTACAAAATAGAGTTCCAGAAATTGGCCATCACAAATATAGGCGAACTGATCTTTGACAAACGGACGAAGGAAAAGCAATAGATTTAAAAAAAAGTCTTTTCAACAAATGGTGATGAAGTTGTCAGAAATCCATTAGCAAGAAAGAGAGGAAGAAAGAGAAAGAAAGGAGAAGGAGCAGAATGAGGGAAAAGGAAGGAGGAGAAGAGGACGAGGAGGAGGAGGAGGAGAAGTAAGAGAAGAAATAAGACACAAACTTTACACCTTCCTCAAAAAGTAACTCAAAATGGATCATAGGCCTATATATAAATATATGAAATGAAAAACCATAAAAATTTTGTAAGTTAACATGGGAGAAAATCTAGATGACTTTGGGTTTGGTATGAGTGTTTTAGTACAACACCAAAAGTATGATCCATGCTAGAAAAAGTTAATTAGGTTACACTTCATTAAACACTTCTGTTTGCAAAATACCCTATAAAGATAATTAAAATATAAGCCACACACTGGGTGAAAACATTTGCAAACTCAAATATAATAATATATTTATTATATAATTATATAAGAAAAAATTGTATTCAAATGATACAAAAATCACTTTGCACTCAGCAATAAGAAAACAACCCAATTAAAAAATTGGCAAAATGGTCTAAACATGAACTGCACCAAAGAAAATAAACAAATGAAAAATAAGCATATGAAATGACGCTCAACACTATTTGTAATCTGTGAATTGGAAATCAAAATAACAACGAAATACCTATTTAGATTTATTAGAATGGCTAAAATGTAAATACCAAATGTTGGTGAGGATGCCAAACTACAGAAACTCTAGTTCATTTATGGTGGGAATGCAAAATGGTACACCTACTTTGGAAGAAAGTTTGACAGTTATTTATAATTTACACATGGTCTTAAAATATAAATCAGCAATCTAGCTCCTAGGTATTTACCAAAATGAATTGAAACTTTATGTCCACAGAAAAACCTGCAAACAAATGTTTATAATAGCTTTATTCAAAATAACTTAAAAGCAACCAAGATGTCCTTCAATAATGAATGAACAAACTGTGCTGCATCAATATAAAATATTATTCTACAAAATATTTAAGCTGTCAAGCCACAGTAAGACATGTGTGAACCCTGAATTCATACATACAGCACTGTATGAATTTAGCACAATTATAGCAGACTTTAGCACATTGCTACATGAAAGAAGTCATATGAAAAAGCCACATATTGTATGATTCCAATTAAATAACATATTGGAAAGAGCAAAACTATAGACACTAAACAGATCAGTGGTTTCCAGGAGTTTGGAAGGGGGCACAATAGATGAAAAACAGGAAATGCAGAGTAGTAAAATTATTTTCTATGACACTGTAATGGATATATGGCATTGCACATTGATCAAAACACTAATTTTCAGCACAAAAAGTGAGTCTCGATGTATGCAATTTATTTTAAAAACATCTAAGCTAGGAGGTCTAAGGACTCTAGAAATGAAAGAAAATGGTGAAAAGAGGATGTACTATTTCAAATGTATGAAAAAACTTCACTGAAGTTACTTGGTGAAACAAGTATTTCAATGTATGAAAAAACTTCACTGAAGTTACTTGGGGAAACAAGTATTGACCTAAGTAACTTTGGAAACAAGTGAAGTTTTAAGACTAAGGACAAGAAAATGGCACATAAGCCCTGTATTCTAGTTGATGAAGTAGTTTCCCATGGAGATATAGGCTACTAATTCTGATACTGCTATGCATGTAAATTAGAACTTACATGACTGGAATGGCAGATACTGGGATCTAACTATCTCACTAATTGGAATGGAAATTTAAAGATAAGAAAGACAACAACAGTAACAACAACAAAAGTTTCTATGAAGAAATGCCTGCTCTAGGACTGAAACAGGAAATGTAAAAGATGAGCCTGTAGTCCTGAAGCATCTTACAGTGCTAAAAAGTAAGAGAGGTTTCAAAAGCACAAAAACAGAAACCCTTGAGTGATGGGGTTATGTCAAAAGGATCCCCTGAAAGAGTTCCCAATGGCCAAAGCTCAAAGAATTTTAGCAATAAGACAAAATGATATTGGATTATAACCCAAAGTATAAAATAAATATCAATGTACCCAAAATAACATAATGATTAAATAAGAAAATAAATGAGAGATGAATTAAATCTTTAATGCAGAAGGACTTCAAATGTTTTATGTAAATATTTCACCCACAAAGAAAGGGAGCATAATTCCCTATTCTTTATGTGTGGGTTGCACCAAGTTTAAAAGATTACATATATCTATATCTATATCTATATCTATATATAAAACATTATACTGGAGAGTCCTGAGAAGTAGCACTTTTGTCAGGTGATCAAGGTCAACATCAGCAGTGATAAATCATTTTGATAGTAGGCACCCTTGACACAATGTGATAAAAATGATAGTTTATCTCTGAGGTTTTTTTCGAAAAACCCATAATCCCAGTCTAACTATAAAACAGACATCAGACAAAACTCACCTGAGGGACATTCTACAAAATACTAGCTCAGTACTTCTTAAAACTGGCAAGGTCATCAAGAACAAGGAAATCTGAAAAACTATCACAGCCAAGATGAGTCTAAGGAAATGACAACTAAAGGTGATATAGTATCCTAGATGGAGTCCTGAAACAGAAAAAGTACACTGGATAAAAACTAAGAAAATCAGAATTAAGTGTAGACTTTATTTGCAGATAGCATATTAATAGTGGTTCTTTAATTGTAACAAATGTACTATACTAATATAAGGGGTTAACCTAAAGAAAACTATTATCTTCTCAATAGTTGTGTAATTCTAAGTTGTTAATGTAAAGTCTAATAAAAAAGATTTACAGTATTAACATGTAATGTGCTCTAAGAATCCTTGAAGAAAAATGTGAGACAGAAAAGAAAATCAATATATATCTATAAGTATGTGTATGTATTATGCAATTTCCAAAAGATGAATCATCAATAATCTTATGAATAAATTTTAGCAGAATTAGTAATAAAAAATAATGAGACTACTGTGAACAATGAAAAACCACAAATTGGATAACCTAGAAGAAATGGATAATTTCCCATAAACATACAACCTACCAAGACTGAATCACGAAAAAAATAAAAAAGCTGAACCAACCTGAAAATCAGTTAGGATCCCAACAAAAATCATGTTAAAAACAAACAGAACTGATGGTTTCACGGATGAATTCTACCAGGCATTTAGAAGTGAATTAATGCCAATAGTTCTCAAATTCTTCCAAAAATTTGAAGAGGTGGGGACACTTCCAAACTTATTTTACCCAGCCAGCATTACTCTCATACTAGAGCCAGATAAGGACACTCAAAGAAAAGAAAATTACAGGTCAATATCTCAGAAGAATATACATGCAAACATCTTAAAAAAAAATACTAGCAAACAGAATTCAACAGCACATTAAAAGAATGATACATCATGACCAAGTGAGATTTATATGTGGGATGCAAGGATGGTTTAACATCTACAAATCAGCAAATGTGACATGCTGCATTAACAGAATGAAGAATAAAAAACACAGGAAAATCTCAGCAGAACAGAAAAATATTTGACAACATTTAGTATCCTTTTATAATTAAACAACAACAACAACAAAAAAACCTCTCAATGAATTAGGTAAGGAAGGAATGTATCTCATTATAATAAAGGCAGAATATAACAAGCACACAGCTAACATAACACTCAATGGTAAAAAGTCAAAAGTGTTTTCTCTGAGATCAGATACAAAACAGGAATGCTACCCTCAATACTTCTATTCTACACAGTACTGGAAGCCCTAGTCAGGGAAATTGAGCAAGAAAAACAAAACATATCCAAATTGGAAAATAAAAAGTAAAATTGTCTTTCTTAGCAGATTACATAGTCTTATACATTGAAGTCCCTAAGCACACCACCAAAAAACTGTTAGAATTAATAAATGCATTTAGTAAATTTGCAAAATGCTAAGTAAACATAGAAAAATCACCTGTATTTCCATACCCTAACAATAACTATCCAAAAAGAATTAAGAAAGCAATCCCATTCATAATAGCATCCGAAAGAATAAAATAACAATAAATTTAATTAAGGAAGTGAAAGATCTCTATACTGTAAACTGTAAAGCACTGATAAAAGAAATGAAAGAAGATCTAAATAAATGAGAAGATATCCCATTTTCAAGGTTTGGAAGTGTTAATATTGCTAAAATGTCCATTCTACCCAAAGCTATCTACAGATTCAATCCCTATCAAAATCTCAATGGCATTATTTGCAGAAATAGAAAGAAATCTTAAAATTCATATTGGAACCACACGAGACTAAGACTATCCAAATCAATCTTTAGAAAGGAAAACAAAGCTAGAAGCATCATACTTCCTGATGACAAACTATAACAAAAATACAGTAATCAAAACAGTATGGTACTGGCATAAAAACAGATAAACAGACCAATGGAAGAGAATAGAGTCCAGAAAGACGCTCACGGATATATGGTCAAATAATCTTTTTCAAGGTTGGTAAGAATACAAAATGGAGAAAGGATAATTTCATAACAGTGTTGAGAGAACTTGATATTCACATGTAAATGAATAAAGCAGTACCATTAAACTCTGCACAAAAATTCTCATATAATTCAATAAATAGATGATAGAAAATAGATACATACATACACACATACACAGGTACATAGATAGATAACATAATTTAAAAATTGGGCATGTGATCTGAATAGATACTTTTTCAAAGATAAGACACTGAAATGACCAAAAGGTATATGAACAGTTGCTCAGCTTCACTGAAAGGTGGTCAACATTACTAATTATCAGGGAAATGCAAATCAAAACCACAATGAAATATCACTTCATACCTGTTAGGATGGCTATTATCAAAAGGACAAGAGACAACATGGGTTGGCAATGGCATGGAGAAAAAAGAATCCTTGTACATCACTGGTAGAAATGTAAATTAATATAGCTATTTTGAAAAACAATACAGTGGTTTCTCAAATAATAGAACAATCATATGATCCAGCAATCCCACTTCTGGGTATATATCTATAAGAAATAAAATCAGTATCTCAAAGAGATAATTGCACCCCCTATCTTCATTGTAGAATTATTCACAATTGCCAAAACATAGAAACAACCTTAGTGATCAACAGATACATGAAAAAAGAAATTGTGGTATGTATACATAATGAAATACTATTCAGCATTAAAAAGGGGAAATCTTGTTATTTGTGACAACACTGATGGCCCTAGAGGACATTATGCTATTATGCTAAATGAAATAATCCAGACAGAGAAAGACAAATATATGATCTCACGTATATGTAGAGTCTAAAAATGTTGAATTCATAGAAGTAGGGAGTAAAATGGTTTTCAGAAACTGGGAGTGGGGTAATTGGGGAGATGTTGGTCATGAGTTATAAGAGGAACATGTTCTGAGGATCTAATGTAGCTCATAGTAACTATAATTAATAATACGGTATTGAATACTTTAAAATTAATAAGATAGATATTCAGTGTTCTCATCATAAAAAATATTTAAAATGGTAACTATGTGAGATGATCAATGTTTAATTAGCTTAATTGTAATAATAATTTCACTATATATATGAAATAATCATGTTTGCACCTTAAATCTATACAATTTCTATTTGTCAATTACACCTCAATAGAGCCAAAACATAAGAATTAACAAGCAAAGAAATATTAATTAAAACAAAAATAAGAAACTATGCTTTGATTATCAAATTGGAAAAAAATAATAACTCAAATAAGGGGAAAGTAAATTGAAATAACTTTTTATGCGAACAGCAGGCAATATAACGTTTATCATTCAGACTTGTATCATTGGACCCAGTTCAAACTTATATATTAATTATTTTCTGTCTAAAAATTTAGCACTATATTTTCTCATCAGTTGTTTTAAAATGATAACAAACAAAAGAACCTCATTGTTCCAATAAGAGGATATAGGTTAAATAAATTATGGCTATACAGTTGCACATAGCTATATAATGAAACATTATTTTGAAATTAAACACAATGTTTCAAAGTTTATTAATGACTTGAAAAGTCGACTAAATTAAAAAAAGAAATTAAAATATTTAAAACTGGCCAGGCGCGGAGTCTCACACCTGTAATCCCAGCACTTTGGGAGGCCGAGGCAGGCGGATCACCTGAGGTCAGGAGTTTGAGACCAGCCTGGCCAACACAGCCAAAATCTGTCTCTACTAAAAAAAAAAAAATACACATACACACACAAAAAAACTAGCTGGGCGTGGTGGTGGGCATCTGTAATCCCAGCTTCTTTGGAGGCTGAGGCAGAAGAATTGCTTGAACTCAGGAAGAGGAGGTTGCAGTGAACCTAGATCGCGCCATTGCACTCCAGCCTGCTGGGCAACAAAGCGAGACCCCATCTCAAAAACAAAAAAAGAAAAAAGAAAAAAAATTAAAAACTATACTTGTAAATCCAAAACGTATTCATTTTAACACATACCTGTAGGAGCCAACCCCCAATATGGCACTCAGAATAAACTTGACTCCTGTTATTCACATATTTGTGTACTGCCCTTCCATGTTGTCTCACAGATACAACCATTTGTATACGGTAGATTTATGGCACATGATTTCCAGGGCTAGGTCATAAAAATACCCACTTCTAGTTCTCATAGATTGCTTGCTGAGGGAATAGTCATAAAGATAGGTGACTACTCAGCTAACCAACCAAAGAGGCCCTTATGGAAAAGAACTGAGGCTTCCCACCAACAGCCAGTACCAACCTGACAGCCACATGATTGACTACCTAGGCAATGATTTTTCCCACCTCAGGAAAGCCTTTAAATGACTAAAATTCCAGTCAACATCTGATGGTAAACTCATTAGAGAGTTTAATCAAAAATATCCAGCCAAGCCACTTTCAAATCCCTGACCCACAGAAACCAAACAAGTATAAATGTCTATTTTTACTTTACACACTTGATAACTAATAAACACAAACATGCCTAGAGAAAACACTGAAAGGATATAGACTAAAATGTCATCAGATGATAAGTGAATTATAGGAGTTTTTCCTGGCTTTTATTTTACTATGATGACATTTTTATGATTAAAATGATTTTTTAAAAGATCGTTAAAAATGAGAACTCACTAAGTAGCGAGGTTGCTATCTATCTTTCTGGTTAATATAGATGTAAATTTCTAAGATCCATGGTTTTCAAAGGGAAACAGATGTGTCATCATTTTTTTTTAAATGTCTTATTTCAGGAGACAGAACCCAGGAATTTCGTTGTTTATTTTTAATTCAGACTTATATATCTTATAATTTTAGAGGTACCTTTCAGAGGTTCATATCAGATTGTCAGCTTTAGGTTTCAGTGTGGCAAACATTTAACTGTTACTGAATCATCATTAGCATTTTTGTTTGACCATGGCATGTTGATGCCATGTTGAATCATAATCATTTTAATTTTTTATTTTTTTTTGAGACAGAGTCTTGCTCCGTCGCCCAGGCTGGAGTGCAGTGGCGCCACCTCGGCTCACTGCAAGCTCCGCCCCCTGGGTTCACGCCATTCTCCTGCTTCAGCCTCCCGGGTAGCTGGAACTACAGGCGCCCACCACCACGCCCGGCTAATTTTTTGTATTTTTAGTAGAGACGGTGTTTCACCTTGTTAGCCAGGATGGTCTTGATCTCCTGACCCTGTGATCCGCCTGCCTCAGCCTCCCAAAGTGCTGGGATTACAGGCGTGGGCCACTGTGCCTGGCCTTATTTAAATTTTTTAAATGTCCATTCTCGCACTGCCATAAAGAAACACCTGAGACTGGGTAATTTATACAGAAAAGAGGTTTAATTGGCTCATGGTTATGCAGATTGTACAGGAGGCATGATGCTGGCATCTGGTGGGCTTATGGGGCGGCCTCAGGAAACTTACAATCATGGTGGAAGGTGAAGGTGAAGCAGGTACATCACATGCCCAGAGAAGGAGCAAGAAAGAGAGGGGGGAGGCACTTGGGTGCTATACACTTTTAAATGTCCACATCACATCTCATGAAAAGTCACTCACAATCATGAGGAGAGTACCAAGTGGGATGGTGCTAAACCATTCATGAGAAGACCACCCCAGTGGTCCAATCAATTCCATCGGGCCCCAACCCCAACACTGGAGATTACATTTCAATATGAGATTTGGGCAAGACACACATTCAAACAGTATCAAAAAATATGTGAAACATCTAAAAATTAAGGAAATTCTCATTTGTTATGGAACAGTTGGAAAATACTGAATACCACAAGTTAAAAAGTAAAAAAAAAAAAATCTAACCCCATCACTGAAAGATAAGATTTACTATTATTTTGGAATACCAAAGATATGCTACGTATATAAGACATAGATATATAAATGGTGGTGGTGACAATGATGAAGAGAGAGGAGGAGGAGGAGAAGAGGGAAAGAGAAAAAAAAGGGAAGATAGATGGACAGATAGAAAGATTTATAATTTCCCTTTACTTCTAAGAAAACTGGCTTTGTACATCTAAGTTTTCCTTTGATTTCTGGATTAGGGAATGTTGTGTGTATGTGTGTTCTAAGATAGAACTTTGTAGGAACAGATCTAATGATATCATATGTAACAGCACGGAACTGAAAATGCTGGAGGAGGAAGAGTTGAAAAGAATAACCCAATGCCCACATAATACCCCACCTTTTTCTTTTTCTTCTTCTTTTTTTTTTTTTTTGCAATTTTATAACTTTATTTGATGTATTTGACAATCAGTGATTAGTTTTTATCCACATTGACTGTCTGTAGATTTTTGAAAGTGGTAACAGGTACATAGGTAACCAAAGTATAGAGCTTATTTGGTGAATCTTCATTCTCATTACATTTTATGGACAACTGCACACAGATTCGGTGTGAGACATTCCTTATTCCTCGGGCCCAGACAAGGCACACATCTGGAGTTCTCATCTCCTTCATGGCAAATTTCCAAATCTCTTTGAGTGCTTGAGGGGCATGCTTCTTGAAGCCCATTCCATAGATGTGCTTGTGAATGTTGATGGTGTATTCTCAGGTCACCACCTCGTTGATGGCAGAATGGCCCTTTTTTCTTCCTGCCACCCTTCTTTGTGGGAGCCATTCTGCCGGGTCCAAGTTGGAAAGGAAGAAATACCCTACCTTTTTCTTTTAAATCTTTCACTAGTTGTTTTCTGTAATTTTAGCCAAATCTTAGCTCACACAGAAATTACAGAGACAGAATTGTGGAGAGGATGAAAATGCAGGATTGAAAGATTACCTTATTTCAGATTCCAGTTATACACTTGGCATTCTTGCGACCTGAAGTTATTGACCCAATCTGTGCCCCAGTTTCTTCCTCCTGTGCCATGGGGCTAACTACAGTACCTACCTAATAGGGTTGTGTGTGAGGATTAAATTATGTAATATTAGAAGTGAGAGGCTATCATTAAGTTTATTACAATATTATATATATAAAACTATTCATGGTTTTTCATGTTTTAAAAATGTATATGGTACATTATGAATTACAAAATTGAACATGGCCTTAAATTTTTCATTTTTTTCTCTTTTGATATTTTATATTATGTATACTTTAATGTAATCCCCCATCCTGAGATCAGTAAAATATTACCCTCTCCCATTTTCCTGGCCGACTTTAGTTTCCTCTAGAGCATGATATCAGATGAGGGTCTAATGCTAATTTTCTCCAAGTAGTTAACACATTTTCTCATTACTACTTTTTAAAAAACCTTTCCTTTTCTTATTTACTTGTTGTGTCAAATTTATCATACACATTTAATACTTATTATACATCACATTTTTTTCCCTCAGGTATCTGGATATTTCTTCATGTTTTTCCTCCATATCACTTATCCAATTTGCTGAAATGTCAATACTACTTGTATGTTTTTATGTTTTAATATTTAGAATATGAATTTTAATTCTACTATTGCATTTGGTTTTTCTTTAACTTTTATTTTTGTCTTGTACCCTTTTCATTTTTGAATGATTCACTTTTTTTTGCTTCTGCAGTATTTTATTAATGTATGTTCCATGTGAACTTTTGTTTTATATTGTCTCCCTCACATATTTATCCAAAGAGAAATATCTTTCTAGACTAGTATTTGTTGACTGTCTTTGGCTAGCACTACCAAATAGTTTTAATGAAAATATTGGCCAGTAAACGTTATCATATCACATAATGGCAGCTTATAAATACAGGAATCAGTTTATGGTTTCAGTTAGAATATTCAAGGCTATATACTATAACCTATGTACAAAACTACCATATAGCTCTTTTCAGTTAAAAATACGGATTAACTGCATCAATCCCCTCATTTCCTTTTCCACCATTCCTTTCATTCTAGTCTGTCTTTCATATTGTGGCCATATTACATTTCTAAAACACAAAGGTGATCATGATATTCCCAGACTTACAATATGTAAGTTACAATTTATTCAGAAAACATTTATGAATTTTCCCAATCTTTCCCAAACTAATTTTTTTGTGCATTAGTGTGTATCACTTATTTCAGCACTCATTATGTAGTCAAGCCTAACAAAGCTGCCTAGAAAGGCTCATATTCCTAGGCTCATTTTTTATCATGCTGTTTTTTTTTTTTTTTTTTTTTCTGAGACGGAGTCTTGCTCTGTCACCCAGGCTTTAGTGCAGTGCCATGATCTCGGCTCACTGCAAGCTCTGTCTCCCGGGTTCACACCATTCTCCTGCCTCAGCCTCCCGAGTAGCTGGGACTATAGGCACCCGCCACCATGCCCGGCTAATTTTTTTGTATTTTTAGTAGAGACGGGGTTTCACTGTGTTAGCCAGAATGGTCTTGATCTGATCTCGTGATCTGCCCGCCACAGCCTCCCAAAGTGCTGGGAATACAGGTGTGAGCCACCGCGCCTGGCCTGTTTCTTCTTTTTAGAAGACCTCCTTATGCTCTTCTTACTGATATATTCTACATATTCTTTAACACAGAGCTCAAATGTTTTCTCTAATGTGAAGACTGTTAATTGCAAATTCCTCTGTGTGCCATAGCACTTCATTTCTGTCACCATTGCAGTAAACTCCTACAAAAAGACAAGAATGAATGAGGCAGTTACACTTTCTAAGTCAGCCTGGGTCAAAACTGGAACAGCTGCCAAAGGCATACTGCACAGAAACTGGAGTGGGAGTGTAGTCTTTACAGAATTATTCTCAATGGGCAGTCACTGTTTATGTTCAATTCTTTGTATGTATGGGGCACCTCCTCTAAATATAAACATATCACCATCTTAAAGGTAAAAAAATCTGAACCAAAGAACTAAAGAGTATAACTTTATATACTATTTTATTTAGGGGTATGAGTGTGTCTGTATGTGTGTGCCTATTTTAGCTCCGTGAAAATAGGTTCCTTATCTTATTAATCTCTATTTCTGAAGTCTTGTAGAGTGCTTAAGCATGCATATTACATGACGAATATTTAGGTTGACTTATTACTATTATTATTATTATTATTATTTGACATGGAGTCTCACTCTGTCGCACAGTGGTGCAATCTCTGCTCACCGCAACCTCCACTTCCCAGATTCAAGTGATTCTCCTGCCTGAGCCTCCCAAGCAGCTGAGATTACAGGCGCCCCCTACCGCGTCTGGCTAATTTTTGTATTTTTAGTAGTGATGGGGTTTCACCAAGTTGGCCAGACTCGTCTCAAACTCCTGACTTCCAATGATCCACCCACCTTGGCCTCCCAAAGTGCTGGGATTACCGGCATGAGCCACTACACCCAGCCGGTTCACTAATTCTTTAATTCTTTCAACAAATATTTCTTGAGCTTCTGCTATATGTAGGTATGATGACAGATCCTGGGGATAAAACAGCAAGCAAAAACAGAGATTTCATGGAGGATGGACTAGTATTAACTATATTTTGTCTACCCCAAATTTCTATGTTGAACCCCTCACCGGCAAAGTGACTGTATTTGCAGATAGGAACAATAAAGAGGTAAGGTTAAACTGAATCATAAAAGTAGGTATCCAATTCAATATAACAGGTGTCCTTATAAGAGCAAAAAAGAAACCAGGGATACCTTCACAGAGGAAAGACCATGTGCAGACACAGTGAGAAAGTGGCCATCTGAAAGCCGAAGGAAGAGGCCTCAGGAGAAACCAAACCTGTAAGCACATTGATCTTGGACTTCCAGCTGACAAAATTATGAAAAAATAAATTTCTGTTGTTTAAATCCCTAGTCTGTAGTACTTTGTTACAGCAGTGTTAGCAAACTAACACATGAACCACTATGAAGAGGTTGCTAAGTAGGAGAGAAACCAGATCCTGTAGTCAACAAACTATGTTAAGGATTTGGGGTATTCTTCACAGTATAATATGAAGCCATAGAAAAGTTTTAGAGGGGAAACATGAAAATATTGTGGTCTGAAAATATTACACTGGAAGACTAAGTGGTAGGTAAGCAAGAAGAACTGTTAAGACCAGTGCAGTTATATAGTTAAAAAAATTTCAATTAATTTTAGCCTACAAATGGCAAAGAACAAACAGGGCTTTATTAAGTACTTATTTTTCTGAAGAAAAAAACAGACTCAGGGCTTAACATACACTCAATAAAAACAGTTTTAAACAATACTTAGAATACTAATTTTGAGATATAGTAAGGGTCTTACTGATGAAAAATCAAATAATGATGAAGGTATTATCCTTAGCTAGAAAAAGGGAAAAATAATAGGGTTTTGATATGGTTTGGCTCTGTGTTCCCACCCAAATCTCATCTTGTAGCTCCTGTAATTCCCACATGTTGTGGGAGGAACCCAGTGGGAGATGATTGAGTTATGGGGGCAGGTCTTTCCCGTGCTCTTTTTGTGATAGTAAATGGGTCTCACAAGATCTGATGGTTTTAAAACATGGGAGTTGCGCTAACAAGCTCTCTTTTTGCCCCGTTACCATCCAAGTAAGATGTGACTTGCTTCTCCTTGCCTTCCACCACTATTGTGAGGCTTTCCCAGCAACATGGAACTAAGTCCAATTAAACCTCTTTCTTTTGTAAATTGCCCAGGGGTATGTCTTTATCAGCAGAGTGAGAATAAACTAACACAGGCTTAGAATATTGTTAAAACAAAAAAGTTGATTAAACTGCTTTATAATATAATCCTTTACATTAGAGTTATGTAATTACAGGTAAATATATTTAAATAAACATGTTACCTCTATTTTCCAAAATAAAATGTAATATACAAATAAATACTATTACATAAAATGAGTTAATAAAATAATTTTTTGGCACATAAGTTCTCAGTGAATGTTTGGGGCGGATCTGATTTTTTTTTTTTACACATTTTATCTGTTTTGCCTTAAATCGTGACTTGGCGTATGTATTTAGTTCTCTTAATCTCTTCTAAAACTTGACAGTGTGTCCCAGGTCACAAGATAATTTAGAAAAATCCTGAATCCTCTAGAACAAACTATTTTTGAAATAAATTCATGTTTGAGGTGGAATCATAATAAATATAAATAACAATCATTTGAGAAATTATTATATTAAATATTAATCCGTTATTACTTTCATGCTGCTGCTTTCATTCTACAGTGAAAATTGTATGGAACATCAGAAAATCGGTCATAATGAAATAAGCTGAGTTCACTTTTGAAAAGCCATTTGATCCCACACTGAAAAATAACACCACCATTATACATGAATAATCAAGATAAGTGAGTCATTTGGGAATGCCGAAGTTAGTTTCTGAATGTTGATATGGCCAACAGAAAAAAACATTTGGAAAAAATAAGCTAATAAAAATATTTAAAATTTGCTATTGTCTCGCCACAATCCTCTCCTTTCTCAGAGGAGACAGGAATAAAATCATTAAGAGTTTCTGATAGCATCTGGATTTGCTCTTTGAGTAATGGAAAATTAGATCACCCATAAATGATCACAGATAAACCTTACCTTATAAATCCAATTAAAACTGACAGATCCATGTAAATGCAACTCCTAGATTACAATGATTGCAAAAGAGCATAATTTTGTTTGTTCTAAGACCTAACCATTTACATGCCTCATGTAGAAATTGTAGGGGCTGGGCAAATATTCTTTAGACTGCAGACTTGTCCCAATTATAGAATACTGGAACATGTTCCATTCAAGTATTTTTTAAACCTAATGCCAGTGTCTTAAATATATTTTAATACATGTAAAAATGTGTGGGGCGGTGTGTACGTGTGTGTGTGCATGCACACCTGCAGAAGCATTTGTATGCTAATGCCAGGAAATAATATGTACCAGTATACAATAAAAATATTTACTTTTCTACCAAAATTACATCTAAACATTCTAATTAATCTTTTATATTTAGTTTGATACTTTGTTATTATTTATCCATGAGTGCAAATCCCTAACTTGTGGTCCAAATACATTTCACCCATAATCTCTAGGAAAAAAAAAAACTGAATTTAGGTGTCATGCTTAATTATATCTTATTTTATCAATAATAATAATAACAAGAAAACTGAACCAATTGTTGGGCTAGCTCATCCAATCATATCCAGAGGAATTGAGAGATGGAGAGTAAGCACTGAGTACACAAAATTAAATCTCCTCTTATGATAAGGACTGAGATGTCCCATGATCAAGAAGCAGTATTTCATACAATTAAACCACTAAATATACATATTCCATCCAATTATTCAGAAAGGAGCTTTAGAGATTACATATTATTTCCATCCCTTTATCTTGCAAGAGCTAAAATAGAATCCAAAGAAACAGATTTGTCTTTGGTTTTTTACCATTTACTGGCTAAAACTTGACAAGAATTGAGGTCTCGTGCTATTTATTTCAACTTTCTTTCCAGTTTTGACTATTATTTAACCTAAAATTGCTAGTTTAAACTTCAACTACATTCATGAAAAATTTTACTTTTCATTAATTTCTAACCATGAGGTCTTTCCACTAAAGGTGGCCATCTTCACAATTTACGTATATTGCCACAAAGTTTTTCTGATCGACACAGACAATCATCAGTGGTGACAGAAACATAAAAATACATAGATTGATAGACAGCCTGGGTGTTTTTAAATCCTTAGTCAGAGTTCTGTGATTAAGTGAACACACACAAAATTTTCATCCTTTAATTGTTATGTTTCCTTTGTAGACATCACTTACATTGTATTATATAATGATAATGAACAAGCTCAGCTGAAGTAACAGTCTCAGATAGAGAGATGAAAGCCTGGGTTGAGCATACTAGAAAAAAATAAATTTATAATTTAAATACTATTAAAGAGGGGTATGAATTTGGAAGGATGGATTAGATGTATGCTTCCTTATTCTTTCCACTAAGTACACTACAAACACTGAAATAATATATAAAACACATGTAGGATGACTTTGAAAGGTAGAAGACAGACTGGTTAGGAACCTGAGGACCTGAGAAAATATAACGGTGAGTTCCTGGGGTTTCCTTTTTGCCTCATGTATTCCAGACTAGGTGCTAAAGAAGCTGGTAACTTAGAAACTGCAACAGTATAGATTTAAAAGTCCAAAACAAAAGGATGCTCTAACAAATACTAATAAAGGGACAACCTAGAAAGATAAAAAGCTTTTAGACAATAATTGATCTACTTCAGTCAAATACCACAAAAAATATTAGCAGCCCCACCCCATCCCTGGAAAGATACCAGAGGAAGACTGCTAAAACAGATGATTTAAATAACTTCTGGAGTCTCATAATACCCAAATATCCAGTTTTCAATAAAAATTATTTACTATATTAAGAACCAAAAACATTTCTACTTGCAAAAAAGATTAAAAGATGGATGCCAACATCAAAATTACACAGATATTAGAATTATCAAACAAGGATTTTACAGCAGGTATTATAAAAAGGCTTTAAAAAACAATAAATAAATTTGTTCAAAAGAAATGAAAAAAATATTGTGGACAAAGAGACTCAGCAAAGAAAAAGAGTCTTAGCTAAAAAATGAAAGATGCAAAAAAAAAAAAAAGAAATTTTAGAACAGAAAAATAACCATAATTTAGAATGCAATGAATGGGCTCAACAGTAGACAGAATAAACAAACAGTAAATCTGAAGACAGAAGAACAGAAATTACCTAGGGTGAACCACAAAGAGAAAGTAGACTAAAATAAAATAAATCCTCAGGGACATGTGAGACTATAACAAAAGATCTAACATTTGTGTCATCAGAGTTTCAAAAACAAAGAAAATGAGGGTGCAATTGAAACAGTATTTGAAAAAATGACAAACAATATCCAAAAATTTACTATAAGACATAAATCTACAGATTCAAGAAGTTTAGGCTGGGCGTGGTGGCTCACACCTGTAATCCCAGCACTCAGGGAGGCAGACGTAGGTGAATCACCAGAGGTCAGGAGTTCGAGACCAGCCTGACCAACAAGGAGAAACCCCGTCTCTACTAAAAATACAAAATTAGCTGGGCATGGTGGCACATGCCTGTATTCCCAGCTACTTGGGAGGCTGAGGAAGAAGAATCGCTTGAATCCGGGAGGTGAGAGGTTGCGGTGAGCCGAGATCGCAGCACCATTGCACTCCAGCCCGGGCAACAAGAGCAAAACTCCATCTCAAAAAAAAAAAAAAAAAAAAAGTTTAGCAAACCCAGAACAGGTTGAACCTAAAGAAATTCATAGTAGAGAAAAACCAGTAAAACTTTTGAACACTCAAGACAGAAAAAAAATAATAGAAAGTAGCACATGAGAAATGAAACAATCTACAGGGGAAAATCTTTTGAATGTCAAGAGTTATCAGAAACTATAAAGTTCAAAAAGATGTTGCATGTTTTTCAAGCACTAAAAGCAAAGAACTGTCAACTAAAGATACTGTATTGAGCAAAAATACAGTTCAGGAATTAAAAAAAAATCAAGGAATTCTCAGAGAAACATAGAAACTTTATTTCAGTGAGTAAAGAACAAAGAAGACAGAAAGAGTAAAGGTATAGGTAAATAGAATAAACTATCCTAGACTTGAGTGTGCTAAATTATTTTTTACGGTTGAAGGAAAATGTATAATGCTGTCTGATGTGATTCTCAGTGTATGCAGAAGAAATGCTGAAACCAATTATAAAATTGGGAAGCAAAAGAGATACAAAGGGTAGTGATATTTCTACACTTAGCTCATAAGGTAAGGTGTTGACACTAGTAGACTGTGACAAGTTGGTGCATATAACACCTAGAATAACCACTAAAAATCCTATACAAAGAGATACACTAAAAAATGCTAAAATAAATCAAAATACAATTATTAAAAATGTTCAAATAACCCACTGGAAGGCAGGAAAACAGAAAACAGAGAAGAAAAATAAAACAAGGAGAACAAACAGAAAACAAAAAATTAAAATGGTAGAATTAATCTCCAACACATCAATAAGTAAATGAAATTTGCCAATTAAACAATGTACATTTGATAGAGTAGATTGAAAATATCACCCAGGTGTATGAGGGCTACAAAAAACTCACTTCAAATTTAATAATATAGGTAGGTTGAGAAATTATTAAAAAAACAGAGAAATATATACCATTGCAAACAGGAATCAAATGAAAGCAGATGAGGCTCCAATCACATTAGATATCTTACACTTCAGAGAAAATTGCTAGGGGCTGAAAATACCATTACTTAAGGAGAAAGGAGTCAATCTATTAGGAAAGTATAGCAATCCCAAATGTACATCACCAAACCACAGAGCTGCAACATGTGTGAACCAAACCTGATAGAATTAAAAGGGAAAATAGATGGATCTAAAATCATAGTTAGAAACTACAACATTCCTCTGATAAAAATTGATAGAACAACTAAAAAATGGCTGAGTCAGTATTCCACAATCAGTCAATGTAATCCTTCATAGTAACAGACTACAAAATAAAAAAAATCACAATATCAACTGATGCAGAAAAAGCATTTAAGAAAATTTAACACCATTCGTGATCTTCAAAACAAAGTTTTCAGAAAACTAAGAATACAGGAGAAGTTACTCAATTTTATAAAGAACACTTACAAAACAACAACCACCACCACCACAACAACAAAACCTCCACAGCTAATACCATAATTAATGATGAAAGATGGAATGCTTTTCCTTGAAGATCAGGAAAAAAAAAGCAAGGGTGGCTATACTCACTACAGCTATCCAACATAGTACCAGAAGTTCTAGCCATACAATAAAGCCATATAAATTTTAAAAAAAAGAAATGAGGAAATAAAAGATGTATCAACTGAATAGGAAAAAATAAAACTGAATACTAATCTTACGCATATATGAAACAATGATATATGTCAAAAATCTCAAGAAATATAAAAGTTAACATAGAATAAATGATTTTAGTTAAGACAATTCAAGAGTAACATATAACAAGCTATTCTATTTCCATATATTAGGAATGGTTAAAAAATTGAAATAGGTATAAATCTTATAAAACTTAAACGTGTATGTTGAAAACTATACAATGTTGTTTCAAGAAATTAAAGAAGTCCAAAGTAAATAGGAAACGTGCCATGCTCATGGATTGAAAGTCTCAATAAATATTATCCCAATTATCCCAAAATTGATATATATTTTGAACAAAATTCCTATCAAAATCCTAGCAATATTTTAGACATACACAAACTTATTCTAACTGTATGTATATAGAGATACAAAGGAACTTGAAGATCTAAAATAATTTTGATTAAAGAGTAAAGTGGGAGGAACTATACTGCCTCATTTGAAGACTTATATATAGTTAAAATAACCAGGAATGGTGGAGGGATAGACACATAGATTAATTGAACAGAATAGAGAACCTAGAAATAGCCCTACATAACTAACTTTTGACAAAGATGCAAAAGCAATTCAATGGAGGAAATATGGCCATTTCAAAAGAAATGGTGCTAAAATGGTGTTGGAGCAATTGAATATCCATAGTCAAAATAAATAAATAAAAAGCAACTTTACCTGAACTTCATATCTTGTAAAAAATTTGACTCAAAATGAATCATAGATTTAAACAGAAAACTATAAAAACCTTTAGAAAAAAAAATCATAGAAAATCTTCAGAAACTAGTGCCTAGTGAAACTTTTTAGATATGATACCAAAAGCATAATTCATAAAAGGAAAAAAAAGTAAACTAGACTTCACTGAAATTTAAAACCTCTGCTTTATGAAAGATATTGTTAAGAAGATGAAAAGAAAAGTTACAGACTGGATGAATATATTTACAACCACATATCTGAAAGAGGACTCAGAGCTATAATATATATCAAAAAAAATTTCAAAACTGAACAGTAAGAAAAAATAACAATCCAATTAGAAAATGGCAAAACAAAGAGACACTTCACTGACAAGGATACATGGATTATAAAAAAGCACAGAAAAAAGATGTTCAACATTACTAGTCATTAGGGAAATGCAAATGAAAATCACAATTAAGAACCACTACAAACCTATTAGAAGAGATAAAATAAAAACTAGTTACAATAGGAAAAGCTGCGAGGATGTGGAGAAGCCAGATTTCTCATGCATTGCTGTTGGGATGTAACATGGTACACCCATGGCAAAATAGCTTGGCAGTTTTTTTAAAAAAAAAGTAAACATGCATTTATCATACAATATCACAATCATACCTCGGTGTATCTATTCCAGACAAATAAAAACAGGTACACACAAAAACCTATACATTGTTGTTCATAGCAGCTTTATTTGTAGGTGCCCCAAACTGGAAATATCAAAATGTCCTAAATAGGTACATGGTTAAACAAACTATCATACATCCATTCCATGGACCACTCAACAATAAAAAGAGAAAAAAATCTAAAATATATTGATATAAGAAATAACCTACATGGATCTCAAGGGCAATATGCTGAGTGAATAAAAGCCAACTTCAAAATGTTATATACTATATGATTTCATTTATTTAACATTATCAAAATGACAAAATAATAGTGATGAAGAACAAATTAGTGGTTGTTCGAATCCTAGAGGTGACTGAAAGGCTGCTTTTTTTTTTTCTTTTGAGAGACAGACTGGTATTGATAAGATTATAAGGCCAATTCAAAAATAAAACCTGAACTCAGAAAACTTGCTGGGCAAGAGTCCTAGATTTGAACCAACAATATTTCTCAACAGTTCGTGAGCATTACACTCAGTTCATAGGATTCAACTGGCTCTAGCAGACGTTGATTCTAAGTAGGAATGCTTCAACATTGTAATCTGTCCTAATTCCAGACTGGTTTTCCCCACAGTATAGTTTTCATATAGTTTCAAATAGCAAAATTTTTCAAGGTCTATGATGAAAACAAATACAAACAATATTATCAACAGCAACAAAAGCAAGACTTTTCTACAGTTTTTGCTCTCATGATTTAAGAAAAAAAGGCTTATTAATGTTCTGCATGTGGTTCTATCTAAATAAAAGACAATTTATAGTATAACCATGATCTGAAATTTTATCAAAGAGTTGAGGTGACAAAAAATACAGTACAGGGACACCCAAGGCTTGGTATCTTAAAAAACCTTTAAGCTGAGATGAGGTAGACACACCCATCATGCATACTGGTGAACTGGAACTAAACCAATGTGAAGGTTGATTTTATCTGCCAACTTGACTAGGCTATGCTACTCAGATTTTTGGTCAAATACCAGTGTAGATGTTGCTATGCAGAATACTTACTAGACGAGAGTAACATTTAAATCTGTAGACATTGAGTAAAGTAGATTACCCTCCATAATGTGGGTGGGGCTCATTTAATCAGTAGACGATCTTAACTGAAAAAAAGATTGTGGTCTCCTGAGGAAGAGAGAATTCTAACCCTGGACTGCCTTCAGACACCAGCTGTAAAATCAACTTTACCCTGGGTCTCTAGTCTCCCAGCCCACCCTGCTGATTTCGGACTTTTGGACTTGTCAGCTTCTACAGCTATATGAGAGAATTCTTTAAAACAATCTCTCTCTCTCTCTCTCTCTCTCTGTGTGTGTGTGTGTGTGTGTGTGTGTGTGCGTGTATGTGTATATATATAATGGATATAATATACAAAATGTACGTATACATATATATGCGCACAGACATACTTCCTTTCTATTGGTTGTTTCTGTGGCAAACTCTGACTGATACAGTCAGTGTTCTCAAAAACTTGCAGCTCAGCATTGTGTAATCTAGGAGAAGTTTTCAGTACTGATATCCAAGAATGTTTATAGCATCACTGTCTTTAATAGACAAGTAACATAAAACATATCTTCCAAAAATATAATGAATAAATATATAATTCTATAGATATACTATGAAATGCTACATGGATTCAAGAAATGAAGGAACAACAGCTGCACAACAGCACAGAGGAATTCTAACATATGATGTTAAGCAAAAGAAGCCAGAAACAAAAAAGTGTATGTTATAATTACATGTTGTATGATGTATTGTGGCTTTGTATGAGTACATATAAAAGCCAGTCATTCTTTCAGAGGGATTCAAAGCTAAATAGTAAAAATATAAGGAAAATGAGGAAATGATGATGGTGAAATAATTACAGTGGTTACTTTTAAGGAAGAAAATGGGGGTTATAATTTTAAAAAGGCTTGCAGAAGGCATTTGGAGTGTTGGTAATTTTCTGTTTCTTAATCACTGTGGAATGAAATGGATGTTAACTTTAAAATAGTGCTTCACTAATCTGTACCTTCACATTCTATGCACTTTTCTAAAAGTATATTGTTAAAAATGTGTATTTCAGAACAAAAAAAATTAAATGTCATAAACATGGGTGACTGTTATAAATTTGGAAAGGTATTTGATATAGTCCTTTAAAATTATTCCACTTCAAACCCGGCTGACTTTTTCTCATCTTAAGAAAAACCAATGATTTACTTACCCATGAATATCATAACTTACAACAAGAGCAATAAAAATCTCAATAGTTGCTAGAAGTGAACATGGAGTGAAGTGGCAATAGTTTTCTTTCTCCTTAGGGCTATGTTTTAAAGCTATGTTTTCACAATCTTGTGTTAAGAAAACTATATTAACAGTAAAAATTATCACAAATTAAAAATTACAAATTCTAGTCAAGATGTCTTCATAAGTTTACACAGTGAGGTACTTCCCATTTATACAGGCACACACATATACACAGACACACATATATCAATTATAGAAAAAAATATAAAATGCTAAAGGGACAAAATTAACAAGTCATAGTAGAGTCTGAAAATATACAAGATAAACACCTCTGCAATAAAAATCAGAACCTTTTAGGAAATTAAATAAATTACATAATAAAATAAAACAGAATAATTCTTTTGGAGGGTAAGATCTTACATTCATATGTATACATGTGCCATGCTGGTACGCTGCACCCACTAACTCGTCATCTAGCATTAGGTATATCTCCCAATGCTATACATATGTAACTAACCTGCACAATGTGCACATGTACCCTAAAACTTAAAGTATAATAATAATAAAAAAGAAAATTAAAATAAAATGCCACCTTCTCAATCCTGAAAAAAAAAAGATCTTACATTCATCATAGTTCAGTATAAAGTATAAAATTTGATGTTTATTTTTGAACAGAGGTGTTTGAGTTTCTTAGAAATATGTGAGAAAAAATCTTAAATAATAATTATTGGTTTTCCTGGAACCCACTGTAAATTATATAATGAAATATAGTTAAAGCTGTACTTGTTTTCTTACAAGTAGAAAGGTAGAAACTTCAGTTATTTGAAAATGATTTCTACCCATATCTATTGTAACACTGTTCTTTCTTGTTTAAGTACTTAGGTGAAATTTTCAGGGCCATTCTATGGAAATGGCTTGAAGAGCTCTGAAAGTAGAGTAGGTATCTCCGCACTCCTCCAAACATACAAACAC
>NW_019805487.1:0-44955 GCF_000001405.40 Homo sapiens | reverse complement strand
CAGGGATTTTCTGTCCCCAGGTTCTACAATCCCACTCCTTTGGCATTCCTCATTAAACAGCCCCTCCAACCAAGCTTCTCTCTCTCTTTTGAGCTCTCTGATGCAACTTCCCAGGGAAGGTCTGCCCAGGGCAGGGCCCAACTGAGCCCTCTCTCTGTCCCAAGGATCCAGCAGGGCCCTGGCTCAAGTTTCCCTCTTTTGTTTTTTGTTTTGTTTTGTTTTGCTTTTGTTTTTGTTTTTTTGTTGACCCTTCCTGAATGAGGAGCCATCTGCCCAGACATGGGGTTGGTCATGGACAATTGGGTAAATTCTCCTTTATTCCCCAACCTGTTCACCTGATTCCTGTCAGAAATGTTCCGCCTGAACTGTAGCAGGAGATCTGAATAAGAATTTTTTAACCACTTTATTAAGATACAACTGACATGAAATAAACCCCATGTATTTAAAATGTACAATTGGCTATGTTTTGATGTAAATATACATCCTTGAAACCATCACCACATCGAGATAAAGACAAACACACACATATATTTACTGCAGCACTATTCACAATAGCAAAGACTTGGAGCCAACCCAAATGTCCATCAATGATAGACTGGATTAAGAAAATGTGGCACATATACACCATGGAATACTATGCAGCCATAAAAAAGGGTGTGTTCATGTCCTTTGCAGGGACATGGATGAAGCTGGAAACCATCATTCTCAGCAAACAATCACAAGATCAGAAAACCAAACACTGCGTGTTCTCACTCATAAGTGGCAGTTGAACAATGAGAACACATGGACACAGAGAGGGGAACATCACACACCAGGGCCTGTCAGGGGTGGCGGATAGGGGAGGGATAGCATTAGGAGAAATACCTAATGTAGGTGACGGATTGATGGGTGCAGCAAACCACCAGGGCACATGTATACCTATATAACAAAATTGCACGTTCTGCACATGTAACCCAGAACTTAAAGCATAATAAAAAAAAAATTGTCAAACTGTCTTCTAAAGTTGTTGGACCATTTTACCCTCCCACCAGCAGTTCATGAGAGTACCAGTTCCTCCACATCCTGGACAGAACTTGGTATGATCTTTTTAATTTTAGCCATTCTGATACCTCAGATGTGTAGTGGTATCTCATTGTGGTTCTTAATGTATGTTTTCCTAATGACTAAAGATGTCCAGCATCTTCATGTTGGACATCTTTACGTTCACATGTCTTCTTGATATGTGAATCCTTTGCCTGTTTTTTATTGGTGGCTTGTTTTGGGAGTTATTTACATGCCCTAGATGTAAATATTTTATCAGATATATGCTTTGAGAATATTCTCCCAATCTATGGCTTGTATTTTAATTGTCTTAGCAGTGTCTTTCAAAAAACATTTTTAATTTTTATAAAACCAAATTTATCAATGTCTTATGAGTCATGCTTTTGGTGTTATATTTGAGAAATCCTTGACTAATCCAAGGTAACAAAGATTTTTTCCTCTGTTTTCTTCTTAAGTTTTATAATTTTAGGATTTATTTTTAAGTCTATGATCCACTTTAAATTTTTATATTGTGTAAGGTATGAATGAACGCTCTCCTTTTTTGCATATGAACATCCAATTGTGCCAGCATCATTTGTTGGAAAAGCTCTCCGCAAATGGCCTTTGCACTTTTGTCAGAAATCAGTTGTTCTTATATGAATGGGTCTATTTCTGAACACTCTATTCTGTTCCATATAAATCTTTTTGTTCACATTTATGCCAACACCGCCTTGTTTTGATGATGCCAACTATATTTTTTTCTCTTTTTCAAAGTTTTCTATTTTGCTATGCTAGGTCTTTTGCATTTCCATATGAATTTTTTATGAGTTTGTAAATTTCAGCTGGTAAATCAAAAGCCTCTTGTACTTTTGGTTGGGATTGACTTGAACCTAGTTATCAATTTGGGGAGAATTGACCATTTTATCAATATTAAATCATGTGGCCCATGGATAATATTTATTTCTCCATTCATTTGGATCTTCTTTATCTCAGTAATGTTTTTCATTCAGAGTGTATGGGTCTTGCACATCTTTTCAGATTTATCTCTAAGTATTTTACATTTTGTGATGCTGTTTTAAATGGTAACTTTCATTTCAATCACTGATTGTTCTGCTATTGGTATTTGGAAATACAACTGATTGTTCTATATAGGTCCTACATCCTGAAACTTTGCTAAACTCACTTAGCTCTATCATGTTGTCTTTAACTAAAAGGTTTTATTTATTCCTTTCCAACATGGATGCATTTAATTTCTTTTTCATTCCGTATTTCACTGGTTGGAACTTTAAGTAAAATGTTTAGTAGAAGTGGAAGAGCGGATGTGCTTGCCTTGTTCCTGATTTTAGGGGAAGAATATTCAGTCTTTCTCCATTGAGTACAATGTTTGCTGTTGGTTTTTCATAGGTGCTTCTTCTCAGTTGGCAGAATTTCCCTTCTATTTCTACCTTCCTGACAGTTTTTTATCAAGAATATAAATAGTGAATAATGAGATGTTAAAAAGTGAAAGATTGATTGGAAAACAGCCACTGTGCTTCTCAATTTGTATCTCTATCCAGTCCTTTGAAAGGTGACTTTGCTGTTCTTGCTATCAAGCGGTGAGGTCTATTTCCCCAACTCTTGAATCTGGGGTGGCCCTGTGATTTGCTTTTTCTCATAAAATATGACAAAAGTGATGTGCCAGTTTTCAGCTGTTTTAAAATGTACCCAGGATTTGTTTTAATCAGGTATTTACAAGACACACAGATATGGAAATGACTGTCATGAAGGAAAATGTTTATTCTCACAGATTCCTGGAAACAAGAGGCATAGCATTCCATGCAGGGAAGCAGCAGGGTAAGTCAGGAGATAGGGGGAGAAGAGGAAATCGAATGCCCAGAGCATTCACTGGGGCTCTCGTGGGCAGGAATGGGCAACGCAGGGTAGGTTGCTGAGTAAGCTTACAATTGGGTGGTTGGATAACTTAAGTGAGCTTTGTCCCATAAGGGTGGTCCCTAGATGTCCACTACCTGGACCTGGGGTGATTTGGGGCAGGGCAGGAAGAATATTGGCTTGGTGTGGGAGAGTTAGATAAAGGAGGTGGCTGGGGATGTGGGCTCTGGATCGGTTGGTTTGAATATCAAAGATGTGCTCTCAGGAGAGTCCTTTGCTATCTCTGGAGAATAACTAGCCCTGGTAGGGCAATGTCTCCAGGATCAAGGCCCCAAATGCCAGAGCATCAATAATACAGAAATGAGAATATACAGTCAAGATATCCACCTATGCCTCAAAACACCTTGTGTGCTTTCATCCTCTCTTTTGAACATGAAGATGTGTCTGGGCTGGCCTGCACTCAGATAAGACCACATGAAACAGAAATGAGTCAACTCCCCTGAGACCATGCCAAGCCAGTCATCTCCCAGCCAATCCACAGGCTGATTGCAGATGCAGAAGTATATCCATCCAAGATCAACCAAACCCACCCTAGGTCAGCAGAAGCAGCCAGCTTGCATACACACTCCTAAGTTCAATAAATGCTTGTTATTTTAAGCAATAAGTTTGTGGTGGTTTGTTATGCAGCAGGAGCTGGCTGATACACCATAACTCTCTCACCACAAAGCTGTTTGGTTCAACTACCTTGTGTATTTCGTCAAGTGTCTTGACTCTTCTCACTCCTCTCTTTATCACCATCTTTGTTCCTAAAATTCCACGGTGTTTCTCCCATGCCTAGAGAAATTTTAACGGAGTTGCTAGAACCCATTTCCTGCTTTCAGTGCCCCCTTTCTTCAACCACTCAACAAATGTTTAAAGTGTGCCATTACATGTGTCAGGCATGGAGGAAAAGACAGTAAGTAAAATAGACATAGGACTGCCACCAAAGAACTTCCAGGAGATGGGAGAATTGAATAAGTAACTGCAGCAGAATTCCATGTAGCATTTTACCCAGAATTTGTGTCATTCTCCATGCAAAGTGCTCCAACCTGCAATGAAATTGCAGCCTCCATGCTCAGCCAGAATGCTTAGCGCCCACCTTATGAAAGAGCAGGTGCTCACAGTGAGGGGAAGCCACACTCAGAAATGAGCAGCTGGGCTAGAAACACCAGCTCCGAATTGCAGTAGTCACCGCAGGGCTGTGCCCAGCCCTTCCAGCTTCTACTGACAGAGGGTGGCAGGGCCTGCCTGTCTGCACGCAAGGCTGGAAAGAGGGTCTTCATGCCTCCCACCCACGAGACACATTCTGCCTGAAAGCCACATCAGGGAGAGGGGCCAGCAGCAATTTTCCAGATGCTTGTCATTTTCAGGGAAAACAAATGCCTTCCAGCAAGGCCTGAGTTCTGGCTCTTTACACAGAGTCCTCAGTGTCTGTTCCCAGGAGGAGGCTGGTTTGTCCCCAATACCTCCTCAACACCATATCCAGATTTTCTCTGTGCCATTCCCAGTGGCTCTGGCCCCATCCTATGACTCTCTCCAGTGCCCCAGGGTCATTTTCCCCACTGGGATATGAAATCCATGCTGTGATCATCTCTATGCCCTATGGTACCTGAAACAGGTTGAGTCCTCAATGAATGTGAGTGGACTGTGGGATCTGGGACTGCCCTAGCTGCTGGGCTAGACCTCAGGAAGGGGGTCCACTCCTTCATGTTCCACCTGGCCCCGTTCAGCCTCTCCCCAGAGACCATCCTGGGGCTGGCTCTGCCAGGATGCAGTGCAGAGTAGGAGGGACCAGCGCGTCCTGAGCGCCTGCTGCACGTGGAGAACTGTGCCTTCATCGGCTCATTTGATCCTCACAGCAAGCCTGTGGGGTGGTGAGACTCAGCCCATTTTGTTGATGAAAAAATGGAAACTAGAGCAGTGACTGCCCAGGGCTCATGACCAGGGCTTCCTGAGCCATATGTAAGTTAGGGTCCTCCTTGCTCCTCAGCCCTGTGGGGTCTACACCCTGGCTCCTGCGTGGTGGCGGAGACAGCCCTTCCCCACGCAGCCCCCATAAAGATGCTCCAGAGTCCTGGAGGAGGGGTTGGAAGACAGAGCACCAGGAAGCAGGCAGCGGGGCCTTGCTGGGGAACATGCACCAGGGTTCGGCCAGCCTGGGCCTGTCTCTCTCCCACCCACAAGCTGGGTGACCTTGGACAAGTCACTTAACTCCTCTGAGCCTCAGTTTCCTCATCCACAACCCCAGGCCATAAACCCCTGTCTGCCTGGGTTTCTGCGAGGGTAGCTGAGCTCAATGCTTCTGGAAGTGCTCAGCGCAGAGCTCGGCCTGCTGGAGAGGGGCTGGAACTGAGCCTCCTGCACTAGGTGGAGAAGGCCTGGAACCAGAACCCGGGGTTCTGATGCCCAACTCGGCCTTCCTGCCCTCCCTCCTGTTTCAGAGGCTGCACTCAGCTTCCTCCCAACCCCCTTGGACCCAACAGTGAGGCACACAGGGCTCCTCCTTTGGCCACACGCCCTTTGCAGACATTCAAAGATGCCAGAATTAATCAGGGCACGGCTCACAGGGCTGACCATGACCACAGCTCCAGCAACAGCCCCTTTTCCGTCTCCCTCCCTCCTCTGATGATCCCACACCCTGCAGTAGCTGAGCCAATCTGTGGGAGTCCCCCGACGCTGGGTGGGGCCCCTCTGAGGACTGCGGCGCATTCCCTATAATGACGTTCATTAGTCTGTCTGACATCAGTACCGTTCTCAGGTTAATATGTTTAACTTAATGAGGCATTTCTTTCCTGTTAGAAAACTCCTGAAGAAGCGTGTTTGCTCCTGATGAGCTCAGCTGATGAGCAGATTAATACCAGGCTTGAGAAGCTGACCGAGAAAACGAATCTAACCAGCTTATGTTTCTTCCTCAGGTATGGGCTGAGCTTGAATTAATTTGAGTTAATTGTCATTTCTTACAGGAAGGAACAGGAAGAAGATCCCTACCTGGCTCTGGGACACATCCTCCAAGTGCCTGTTTCTCTCCCCGACACCTCCAGCCCCAGCTGCAGCTCCAAGCATATGAAAAGACCAAGGGCCAGCAGATGATGAGGGGAGAAAAGAGAGCCTGAAACCAAGCAACAGGAAAGTGAGAGTATGGACAGGAAGCTCTCGCATGATAACAGTGACAGCAATTACAGTGATAGGGCAGGGGGCCCGTCTTGGTCATTTGTGGGGTTCACCATTGTCATCCCAGCACCCAGCACCCAGTGGGGACTCATAGATATTCACTAACATAAATGAAAAAGATACTCAACAATGATGACTGTTACTGTTAATCAAGGAGTCACATAATCTCAAGAGAAAGAAGATGCTCAATGTCCCAGACACATCTGATCGATGAACTAGAGTTCAGTGACTCCTGGCCCAAGGGCCACAGATGACCCAAAGGCTAATTTTCTTTGGTGCCTTGCCAGTGGATTTTCCCAGGTCTCTCTCTCCATGGGCATTTAGAGCCACTGCCATCCATGAGTGATGCCAGCCAGCACCCACTACCCTCCCTCCCAGGAACAGGCTTCCAGGTCATGCTGATTCAATGCCTTCCCCTGTCCAAACCAGAAGCAGAAGGAGGTTCAGCACCCATTGTGTACCCACCCTGCTTGCTCAATGACCAAAATTCCCTCCAGACAAGTCCAGCCCTGTTTCCACTGCGTTCAGAGTTGTTGGAAGAAGTCGGGGAGCTTGCTGTGGAATGACGGGGTTGTTTACAGGCAGACACAGTTGATTGCAAACCTCACTTCTGCTTTGGTGACTGAACAGCAATGATGCTGCATTAACTGAGCTGCGCTGTGTGCTGGCCGCTGTGCACACATCATTCCACTGACTCTTCACAACAGCTCTGGGAGTAATCCCCATTGTAAGCTCCCTTTTAAAGATGAGGAAATTGAGGCTAAAATGAGCCTATGCAAGGCTCCTGTTTGCACCAAAGCCAGTGATCCTGACAGGAGCTGGTCACCTGTCAAAGGCCCTCTGTGCCACCTCTAGTTTCAGCCTCATCCTACCTCACCTACCCCTAGATCTCTGCTGCTCCAGTTGGTGGTATCCCAGGCACAGCACCTCTTTGAACCATGAGCCAATCTTCCTAAACATCAACATCACTCAACGATTTGGTAGGAGGGTTTTTTTTTTAATCCAAGCAAATATTATGGAACGGAATAAGAATTAACATGACTTTTTTCTAAGATAAATGATCGGTCCTTAAAATGTTCTGTGCTGTGCTAGCTTGTTTCTGCCCATGCCCTCAGATGCCCAGAGAGCATTCACTACCTCCTTCCCTAGGCGGGCTTTGTAGGAAATGTTGCAGGAGCATTGCCCTTAAACCTAACCAGAATCGCTGGGCATGGTGCCACACGCCTGTAATCCCAGCACTTTGGGAGGCCGAGGCAGGTGGATCACGAGGTCAGGAGATCGAGACCATCCTGGCTAACACAGTGAAACCCCGTCTCTACTAAAAATACTAGAAATAACAGCTGTTATTATTACCAGTTAGTTGAAGATATTGATAAATACAAAAAATTAGCCAGGCATGGTGTCAGGTGCCTGTAGTCCCAGCTACTCTGGAGGCTGAGGCAGGAGAATGGTGTGAACCCGGGAGGCGGAGCTTGCAGTGAGCCGAGATCACGCCACTGCACTCCAGCCTGGGCAATAGAGCAAGACACCAACTCAAAAAAAAAAAAAAACCTAACCAGATTCTTAAATATCACCCAAGCCTAACTCTAACCTCTAGAGGTCAACTTGATCATAAGAGGTGTGAGCCATGAGAACATCTAGGGAGGACATCCTAGACAGCAGAGTGACAGGTGCTAGGGAGGTGAGGCCAGAAAGGTCACAGGGTCTTGGGGACCAGTGAAGGACTCTGGCTTTAACCTGGAGAAGATGGGAGCCATGGAGGGTGTGAGCAAGGAAGGAAGTGGTTGCATGGGCATTCTAAAAGGCTCCCTCCTGCTGCTCAGTAGAGAGGAGACCACAGCGGGTGAGAGTGGAATCAGGCAGATGGTTGGGCAGCCCCTGCAACCATCCAGGCAGTGGATAGATCAAATCAGAGCAGGAGCTAAGACAAACATGTATTTTCCAGGGTTGTGGTGAGGGTCGTAGATAATGAATAATAGTTAGACAAACAAAAAAGCATCTAGCACTGTGCCTGGCACACAATAGGCCCTGTAGAAATAACAGCTGTTATTATTATCAGTTAGTTGAAGGTATTGATAACTCTGAAGCCAAATCCTGAAGCTACCTGGCCTCATTTCTCTGAGTTCAGTAGCTCCATCCAGACTCTCAGAGGGAATTGCAAAGAAAAACAAAAACAAACCTCAGGCTGCAAAGAGAAATTGCCAGTGGTGCAGCGCAGGGGGAGAGTCTTCACAAGGTCTTCACAGCAGTGGAGAAAGGCTTAGTTAAGTGATAAAACACTCACATTTCACAGGTTCCACATGTACCTGAGTGACAGCTATCTGGAGTTTTGTTTGTTTGTTTGTTTGTTTTTGAGACGGAGTTTCTCTCTTGTTGCCCAGGCTGGAGTGCAATGTCGCTATCTCGACTCACCACAACCTCCGCCTCCCGGATTCAAGCGATTGTTTTACCTCAGCCTCCCAAATAGCTGGGATTACAGGCATGCACCACCACACCAGGCTAATTTTTTGTATTTTTAGTAGAGACGGGGTTTCTCCATGTTGGTCAGGCTGGTCTCGAATTCCAGACTTCAGGTGATCCACCCACCTCGGCCTCCCAAAGTCCTGGGATTACAGGCATGAGCCACCGTGCCTGGCCTATCTGGATTATTTTTAAGAGGAAGGTAGCCTTTAAAGATGATTTGCTCTTGGTTTAAAAATTAAATAAATGTTGGGAGACATGCGCGCGCACGCGTGCGCGCGCGCGCACACACACACACACACACACACACACACTTGAATTTTCCCAAATCAAACCCTTTCTTCTGTAATCAACTTTTTCAATGGGATTTTTAAACTAGATGTAATAGCAAACAATATTCACACAGGCAGCAGATCAAGCGCACCTTATTTGGAATGAAACTGACAGCCACTTAGATCAGAAAACGTAGCTACTGTTGGGATCTAAAGAGAAGATACAGCTCCAGGACAAATTAGCCTCCAGCTTTTCAAAGACTGACTTCACACTTGTTGGGCTTTGCTCTTGTTGCAAGTATCAGCCAGGAAATTCCTAGACAAGGTTGGACATCTTCCTGGAGTGTAGAGAGTAGGCGCCACATCAAAGTGAGGATATTCATCCTTCTGGGGCTGGAGCTCCTGTGTGGAGCTAGGAGCTGAACTGCAGCTGGCTGCGTGATCTTGAGGCCATTACTTTCTCTCTTTGTGCCTCAGTTTCCCCAATGTGTAAAATGAGGGGCTAGCTGGTCTCTGATGATTCTTCTAATATAAAATTATAATAAGTGAAATTAAAACTAGGATGAAAGAAGGCAAATGAGCACAGCGTGGGAAGGAGGAGGGAAGGATAACAAGAGTGAGAGGAAACATCATCTGAGGTGAGAACGCCGTGACTGCCCCAGATGAATGAGGCCGCAGAGTTGCTTAGACACCATCACCTCCATCGTCTCAGTCCTCATAGTCCCAGGAGGTGAATTATCTCCATTTCACAAATGTGACAGCTGAGACTCTGAGAGGGGGCAGGACCTGCCCAAGGTCACACTGTGAGTCAGAGAAAGAAAACAGCACGAGAGGGGGTTTCTGCTGGCGACAGCCTCCAGGGAGGGTCCGGAGGTGAAGCCAGATCTACCAGCGCTAACTCCAGGGCCCTTTCCCCCAGTCTCTGCATTTCCCACAGCCTGCTGGGCATCTCCTGGACACACTGCCAGTGCCACCAAGATTGGTGCTAGCATCTTCCATCACACAGCTGGGCGTGGAGCAACTGGAATTTGAGCCCAGGACCAATCAACTCTAAAGTTCTTGCACCTTCTGTCCCATGACATTATCCCTCCAGTAAATCACATGCCAAGGTCTAGCATTCTCTCTACATGAAGTTTTCTGTCCCTCTCTTCCTTTTAGACTCAACTGCCCACCTTTGAAGCATAGGAAGATAAGCCCAGGCTCTATCTCCACACTGGTCTATGAACGCCGCAAGGGCAGGACCCATACTTGGTTTAACAAAGACCCCCAGTGCTCAGTAGAGCACCTGATCCGTGGACCCCCAGAAGGCTGGTCAGGATGCAAGGGGGTCCCTTCCAGCAAGGAAGGCCCCAGTGTGGGGAAGGCAGCCAGGCAACACCAGGCCCAGATGATGCCACCCAGAGTGGCTTGAGAATGTGTCTCCAGGACCAGGCCTGGAAGGAGCCAACAGCAGGACCCAGGCGCAGAGAGTCCTGCACCAAAGACCCAGGGAAGGACAAAGACTGGGAGGGCAAACTGAGCAGCAGGGCCAGGAGACCTGAGGCAGCCCAAGGATGAGGTAAGGTCATGGGAGGGCAGGTTGCTCAGGGACAAGTCGGTGGGCAAAGCCTCATACACTGCTGGTGGGAGTCTAAATTGGAGGCACCACTTTGCACAACTGTTCGGCAGTCTCTCTTGATGCTGAACCTGTGTGTAATTGATGACTCAGAAATTCCACTCGTATCTGCCCAGCAGAAATTCACCCATATGTTCACCAAAAAGCACTTGCAAGAACTTCATAGCAGCCCTGTTCCTAACAGCCCTAAACTGGAAAGTACTCAGATCTCATCTAGAGTTAGATGGGTAAACAAATAGCTGCATATTCATACAACATACAAACATCACACATCAATAAGAATCAACAGTGTCCAACTTAACACGCTGACCTGGATAAAACATACACATGATGTTGAGCAAAGTGGAAATGAGACACATAGGAGCACCGGACAGTGTGAGTGCATTTGCATGAAGTTCTGGAACAGGCACAGATGATACGCAGGGTTAGAAGGCAGGGCGCTTCTCACCTGTCCTGACCTAGAGGAAGAGTGACAAGCAGGGGTGTGAGGGGACTCCTGGAGTCCTGGTAACATTCTCTTTCTCGATCTGCACTGGTCCCATAGGTGTATTTAGTTTCAGAGAGTTCTTTAGCCATACGCTTACCATTTGTGTACTCTCTTCTGTGTAAGTCTCACATTTCATTAGGCTACACTAAGAGGTTTGCTTTAAAAAAAAAAAAAGATAAGCCCCAGGGCCCTTTTTAGTGAAATGCCCAGAATATGCCAGTGGGCCTGGCTGCACTCACACCTGACAGACACACCCAACACACTGTATATGATCAAATCATTCATTGTTGAATGATGAACGAATGAACAAATTGACAACTGCATGAAGCATTGAATAAATGAATGGACCGAGGAACCATGAATCCATGAATGAATGCAGTGACAAAATGAAAGAACAATCAATGGAAGCAGAAACAAATAAACCAAGGTGTGCATCAAGGAATACATTCACGCATGATGGCTGTATGAGTAAAATGAATGAAAGAAAAAATGAACAAATGAAAAATACCAAAGAGCCAAATGAATGGGTATAAAAAAACAATAAGCGAAAGAGTAATTGTGCAAATGCCTAAGGCCTACGTGGACAAATGTTTCAATGTGTTCTTGCTGGACATGAGGCAGTGTCATTCGTGGAGCAGAAAACTCCCACTTTGGAGGAAAGCGTCTCCACTCAGACATCTGGGACCCAGGTCTTAGCCAATCAGCATGTTTTCCTCCCACCGAAGGTTCCTAAAGTGACTTCAATTCAGATGTAATAAGAGTATGCTTGAGCAAATATCACACTGAGTATGCCAGGCCCCTCCAATCCTTTCCCCACCCCAGCAGTCACACTGAGCTTTCTTTTTTTTTTTGAGTATGCTGAGTATGCTCCCCAGGATTAACTCTGTGTTCTGTGGAAAGAGCTAAACGGAATTGACTGCGTTGTTTTCCCAATTATGTTACAGATAATTACCTATTATGTAGCAAAACCCCAGGATGATTTTAGTAATCACTATTTAAACAACACATTTTTACTGTCTCCTTACAAATTAACCTCCAGGAAGTGTAATTAATGTCAGTATGAGAAAGTTGGCAGCGTGGCCCAGGAATGAGGATGGGTTGAGGCTGTGGCTGCGATCGTCCTGTGAGACCCCGAGGCCGAGTGTTGCTGACTGAGGCCAATGATCGGGTTGAGAACTCGGAAAACCTGGGTCCAGAAGATCAGACAAGTATTTCCCCATCTGAGCCTTGGTCACTTTCCCTGTTAAACGAGGATGATTCCCTAAATCCCCAAACTCACTAGGACATTAGGAGATCTGACTGCAGGCCTGGAACAGAGTCAGCGTTAGTCACACAGACACCCCCACCATGTCCCCACCGCAAGGGCACATCCTTCATTGTGGGGTGGCAACGGGGTCTTTTCTTGACGTGTGCCCCCTCCCCAAACTGAGGGTAGGGACCGAGTCTCGCTTCTCGGTGCATCACAGCACCGGCATGGGGCCTGGCACGTAATAGGTGCTCAGTAGGCATTGGTTGGAAGAACAAATTAACCCTATCACATACTGTGTGTTTTGTAAACTGCCTTTATAAACACAATATGGTTTGAAAGACACATGGCCACTCACCAAATGCTCCTCCGTCTGCTCGTGGTTGTCCAGATCCTGCCTCACTCCCGGCCCATCCGTCCACCCAGTTTACTCCCTCGGTATCTGCCTCACTCGGCCCCTCTCCCACTTCTGTCTGATGCCTCTAGCAGCTGTGAGCCTAGAGAGGTGAGAAAAGCCGTTTGGACTGTGATAAAGTACCTATCGCCAGGCTCTGAATGAGGGGCCAGGAGCTTTGCTCTGAGGAAATAAGATGTGCCTGAGTGTCCACACTGACCCCAACAGGGGGCCAGCTTTGACAAGAGTTCAGCTTGCGGAGTGATCTCAGAGCCCAACTCTTCCACTCCAGGGACAACAGGGACCCAGTCCCACAGAGGCTGCCCGCAGAACGCAGGTCCCTTGATCACAGACTGGATGCATCCCTGCTGTCCATCCCGCAGGGGGAACGCCATGCATCCAGCCTGCCTTTATGACCTGGGGGTTTCTGCTGCTTCCAGAAGAGAGGGAGAGCTGGAGAAGCGCAGCCCCAGAGGGAGGCGGGACTCCCCTTCTCAAGTTTGCCACATTCTTCAAATTGTCCCTGATCATCACAAATTGCTCTTAGAAGAAGAATTTCCAGAAAGGAAAGAGAAATAGAAGTGGCTCCTATGAAATGAGATCAAACTCCTTGTACGCAATTAAACACGGGCATTTAAAGCCCTTTTCACACTGTTAGATTCTTCTTTTAAGTGGTTGGCAGTTTCGGCTATTGGTTTCTCAGATGTCTGTCTGAGAGTCTAACCTGCATAGGCTAGGAAACACATGCCCACCCTATTCTCAATGTCACAGGGTCCCTTTCCAGGACAAAGTCCAGAGAGGGATACAGAGATGATTAAGGGGGAAAAGCCAATTAGCCCCGTAGAGGGAAGGAATAAAGGTGGTATAATGATATTATTTATTATCTGAACTAATTAATAAGTGTCACAGCAAATATTAATTGAGACATTTCTATGTACGAGGCACTGCTCTGTGCGTTAATTTATTTAGTCTTCATAACAAACCTGTGAGGCAAGTATCATTTTTATCCCCATTTTACAGATGAGAAAACTGAGACACAGAGGAGTTGAATGGATTAAAGGAAGGGGAAGTGGCAGCGTGTGTGCCCAGACTTGAGAGTCAGGCAAGTCAGAGTTCACCTCTCTCTCCATTTGGTCCCTCACCAGCTGTGTGGCCTTGAACGGGTGAGTGCATGTCTCTAAGCCTCCATTTTCTCCTCTGTAAAATGAGGAATAGGATATGACACCTGCAGGACCTGTGGTATGGTAGGGGCTGGAGAGATGAGACACCCATCTCCTTCCCTGAGTTGGAGTCAATGCTGGTGCCCTGCCAGTTGGCTGCGGGCACATTCAGGCCCGAGCATGCCCAGAGGAGGAAGCTGGTCCCTTAGCAAGAGGTAGACTAGCTGATCCACCTGCTAAGGACTGCACTTGGTCTGTGAGACACACAGAAGGCACAGAGACCTATAATCCCAGCGTTCTTTCCAGAGCCTACGTCCAGTCCCAGCAGGGAGCGGTGGACACTCAGCACCTATTCTGAAAATCTTTTTAGCGGGAGAGCTGAGTGCCACAGTCAAGCATAGAGTCTTGGATAAACACCTATGGAGCAGAGTGGCCGGATCATGGTAGATGCATGTTAACTTTAAAAAAAAAAAAATGCCAGACTGTTTTCTGCAGTCTAACATTTTATATTCCCACCAGCAATGTATGAGGAGTTAGTTCTTCCACATTCTCACCAATACTTGTTATTTTCAGTCTTTTTAATTTTAGCCAGTCTGGTGGGTGTAGAATGGCATCTCATTGTAGCTTTAATTTGCATTTATTTGATGACTAATGATGTTGAGCATGTTCTCTTGATTTATTGGCCATTCATATATCTTCTTCTTTGATTACTTTTTAATGAAAAACACACTTGCATTCAAACTGAATTATATTGTCAACAGTTAATTATCACTTGTCAAACAAGTGTGTACCCAGATTGTGGGTTTAATTTTCATGTAGGTTTGCAAATGCCTCATTCCTCTTATTTGACAAGGCCTCTCTGAGCAAAATACATTCATTGTTGGAAATGATGCTTTTTTTTTAAGGAGTTTTAAAAATAAATAGGTTTGCCTGGTGTCTGAGTCAGGGCTCTTTGCAAGTAACAGAAAAACCATTCATTCTAGCTTAGGCAAAGAAAAATTGTGTGTGGAGGGGTATTGTACTAGGCTGGAGGAGGGCAGGGAAGAGGGGAAGTTTCTAATGGAACTTACAGAAGACCAGCCTACCGGAGCCTGGAACCAGGGCCTGGAATGCCAGCTGGGACCCCAGACAGCCACTCACCTGCCCACCCCACCCTGCAGCTCATCTCCACTTCTCTCCATGCACCTGTTTTATTCTCTCTACAGCGTGTTTTTCCTGCCTCTCCGCTCTCATCGGAATGACGCTTCCTCCTCCCTTGAAATCACACATCCTTAGGTCAAGGGCAGCAGAAAATTACCTAATAGGTGGGTCATATCCTTGTTTGGCTGCTGACTCTCTGGTGCCCTGGCAAATCCTTAGCCTGACAAATCTGTACCCGTCACCAGGGCCAAGTCCTGCCTGGCACAGTTGTGCACTTGCTGCATATTGTCACATGCGTAGAGCACTTTACTCTTGGCCAAGGAGCCAGAGAGGGCAGTATCTGTGCCTGTTAGCTCAGGGCAGTCAGGGGAAGAGCAGGAGTGGGGACTCAGGGCAGGGGACTCCTCAGGGCTGAGAGAGCAGAATGCATTCCTGACTCCTGAGAGGGTGGGAATGGCAGCACTGTCCAGGTACTCAGATCCACCCCATGGGTGGGAGGGAGGGTGCTGACACTCACAGCCCCCCACTCCCCTCTGCCTGACAGGCTCACCTCTCCTGCAGATCAGGCTTCAAAATCTACCTCTGTCTCTGACCTTGGCCAAGTGGACATGTGTCTGCCTGTAATGTGAATTCATGCACATGCATTCCAGTGTGCATGTGTGTGCACGCAATGTTTGTCATTGTGTCTGCATGTGCATGGGGGATGTTTATGTGGATCTATGTGTGTGTTTTGTGTGTCTGTGTAAATCTGTGTGTGGCTGCATGTGTCTGTGTACGCACTGCATATATCTACACACCTATGTGCACATTCAGAGGGTTCTAGGTGGAGGCCCAGGGGTTCTTCAAAGCTCAGTACCCAGCAGAACCCTGACTCCAGGCCCTGGGCCCCCAGTGCAGGACTCTCTCCACTGTCCATGCTGCCTCCACTACTATGACTAAGGAAGACTCTCCACCCACAGCCTCAACCCCACCCAGACCACCTTTCTCTCCATCTCCAGCTGCAGTAGACATAAATGCTGCTCTAATTTCTCCTCACTTTCAGTAATTTACAAAACGGTTTCATTGGTTCCACAGTCAGCACTGCTGCGTTTCTCTTGGAGGATCTTTATGAAGATGATGTGGCAAACAGTGTTGTCTTGTTGTTAAGCAAAAAAGTGGTAAAAAAGACTAAAGCATTGTGGGGGTACGGGGGTGGATGGAGATAAGAAAAGTGTCCATGGAGCATGAGAGCGATTACAGGGAGATGCTGTGAACAAGTCATTTAAGCAAATTCTTCACTAGGACTTGGTTCCATCCACTTACTAATAGACCAGCCTCATCATCTCCTGTGATAGCATTTTTTTTCCCTTTTCTCCATCCAGCCCTGAGGCCTTCAGCCCCACAACCCCTGCCCAGGAAAATGGGACTGACACCAGTAGAAAACTCAGAGATCATTTAGTGTGAAGCCAGACAGGATCAGAGCTCTCCATTCAGCTGTGGGATGTGGAACTTCCATCCAGAGATGTAGGTCTTGGCCATGCAGGAGGTGGGGCCAAACTTGCCCCAAATGCCCTGGGTGGGAGACCAAGGTCAGTGACTCTGCCCACACTGACTCTTCACTGCTCACTTCCCTGCTCAGCCTCTCTTGCCCCCTAGGCACTGGCTGTTCCCACACAATCTCTCTCAGGACAGGAGACAGAGGCTTTTCTTGCTTTTATTTTCAGCCTAGCATTTTTGCACAGATAACTTTCACAACTTTCATCCTGATTTGATGGTCATCTGGGAATTTGGTGCCACCCCTTCCTCCACCCTTGAGAGGTGCCCAACTCCCTCCACATATCTCTGAGATGCCATAAGGTGCACAAAGCCACATGAGGAAGGAGAGCCTGGGCAAGACAGGGGGGTTCCACTGGCCCCGCCTCTGCTTGGCCATGTGACACCACCCACTGCCTCCCACCTGGATAAGGATGGTTCTAGCAACTGGTAACCCCGACAAGGTCTGCACTTTACCAGGCCCCTCGCAGATCCTGTTTCCTGAAGAGTGAATCGGACAGAGAGCATCATGGCCCTCATCCTACAGGGGTGGACTCAGGCTTGAGAGCCAACTGGCCCAGCTGAGTTACTGCCAGTGCATGGACAGTGAAGGTCCTGAGCCCATAGCCCAGGCGCTCCCCTCCTTGGCCAGCAGAGCTGCTGTGAGAGACCTTCCTGCTGACCCAGTGACAGTGCTGGTAAGGAGAGCAAGTGATCTGATCATTCACAACCTCCCATTTACCAGGAAGACTATTCACTCCCTAAGTCTTAGCCACGTGTAATTTCTATAAATTCATACTATTTTACCAACATCTCTTATAGGAGGCTATTCTAACAAAATAGAAATTTAGAAGGCTGAAGAATGAAAATATTTATTGCAGTGTTATGACAGTAAAAAATATAACCATCCAAATTATATACATAGGAGATTGTTAAATAAATTATAGATTACTAATCACATGGACAATTTCCAAGAATATACAATGCAATGGGAAACTGATCGGCCTGGAGTGTCAGGTAGGAAAGCCTCAGATCTGTATCTGCACATGGAAGGACACAGCTGGGTCCACCAGTATCCACTTCTTTATCTGGACCCGGAGGAGAACGGTATCTCCCGCGGCCTTCACGTCAGGGTGGCCATAAGACTTGCACTGGACAATGAAGTATGAATAGAGGCAGTGAGTGTCCCTTCCAGGTGAGAGCATTTGAGTCAGCGCTCAGCTCCCCCTGTCCTCCTTCCCTGTCACGGTGACTTTAGAAGTACATGTGGAGACGTTGACATCCTCAGACAGTGGAGCCTCCATCGGTGACAGTCCCTGCTGTCTGTGATGACCACGCCCTCCCTGCAGACCACTGAGGACATGTAGCAAGAGCAAGAAACAATCTTTGTTATTTTGGGGGGTTGCTTGTTTTTTTAATCATATCCTAGTCTATCCTGACAGCCATGCCAATGGGAAAGCAATTATGAAAATATATACTTGTATATGAAGAGACAAATAAATGAAGAAAGATATTAATCAGGAAAAACTACTATCTTTGAAAGACAAGACACAAGATGAGTTATATACTCTCTTATATAAATGCCTTCACTTGCCAAATGCTTCACAGTAAGGATGCATGGCTGTGTTAGGAGGAAACATCAATGTCATTAACAAGAACACCTGGGCCCTGGCCGAGGCCATCCTCGTTCCAGGCTGCATTTTTCTCTCCTTCATCTCAGTCTCCTGGTCCACTTAGCATCTGTCCCGCCCAATTAGCCCTTTATTACAGATCATTTTGTTCTCTAATTGTCTGCCCTGCATAATTTAGCACAGCCATATACTGTCTTATTGCCAAACGTTTAATTTAATGTCTTTTGGCCTCAGTTTCTTCATCTCAAAGCAGAGTAGTGGCTGAAAAGGAGATCTTTAGAAGCCCCTCAGTGCCAACATTCCTTTGGGGCCAGGAAGAATCAAAGCTAGCACTGGCTTGGCACTTACTGTGTGCCAGGCACTGTGCTAAGTACTTTTCATGCATTAGTTCACTTAGTTATTTCAACAACTCCATGAAGGAGGTCCTATTGTTATCCACTCCTCTCGCCTATTTTACAGATGAAGATGCTGAAGTTCAGAAAGGTTTAGAAACTTGTCCATGGCCACACAGCTCAGAAGTGGTGGAGCTAGACCTTGAACCCAGGCAGTCTGCTCCCAGGTCCCTTCTCTTCCTGCTCCGGTGAGTGTCAAGTCTTTACTATGCCCAGACCCTGTGCCAGAGGCTTGATGCAGGAAGATAAGATGGGGTGCTTGCCTGCAAACAGAGTAATAATAACAACAATAATGATGATGATGAAAGTTACAATGCCAGTTAACATGCATTGAGGGCTCTCTTAGGTCCTGGAGTCCCCACAGCATCCTATGAAGCAGAGACTCCCAGTCTCCATGTTACAGATAAGGATGCGAGGAACAGCGAGGAACAGAACAAAACTCTGTTTTGTTCAGAGTCCCACCCCCAAGTATGCCTCGAAAGTGTCGTTTGAGCCCAGGAATCTGCCTCCATCTGATGTACCTTCATGAAGTCCTCACAATAACCCTATGTGCTCAGTATTAGCTTGCCAATTTACAGAGGGAAAAACCAATGGGGCTCACAAAGGTTAAGCCACTTGCCCAAGACACACATTGAGTGAGTGCTGGAGGCTGAACCTGAACCTGAGTCTGTGGGCTCCGGGGCCCATTTTCTTCCCACTGCTCCAGTGGCGAGAAGCCTAGAGGGGCCACCTGAATGCTCTCGGGGCAGAGAAATCACCAGCTGTGACACATCAGGATAGCAACAATAACAGAATCCTCGCTGAGCTTGTTACCGGTGTTGCTACACTTAATCCACCCCACAAGGTAGATGCTATTATTATCTTCAACTCACACTGAGGAGACTGAGCTCAGAGAGGTTAAGTAACCTTCCTGAAGTCTCAGCAGGGAAGTGGAAGAGACCAGGGTTAGCCAAAGCCTGTGATCTAACCATTAGGTCACACTATGCCTGGGACTCAGGGATCATTAACGAAGACTGGGCCTCCTCCACTGGGGTTTGGAATCAGAATCTAAAATCTTGAGGAGAGGCCTGCAAAGATAAAAGGTCTGATGCTGTCCTGAGAGCAGAGAAGAGAGAGAACATGAAAGCTCTGGGTAGGAAATGGAGGGAAAGCCAGGAACCCAAACAGCCTGGGTGGGCTCCCTGCAGGGCCCAGGTGGCACAGGCCAGCACTGCTTGAGAGAGGCTGCATCCTCTGCCTGTGGGAGTGAAACCACCTTTGCAAAATTAAGACTGAGACAGTGAACGAGTTCTCACTTAATCGACTCCATCTTGCTTCTAACCTCCAAGCTGTCCTTGTTCATTCCCAGGCGTAGGCAGAACTAACTTTGGGAGAAACTTAGTTTATAGTTTATAGTTTAAAACAAAGACAATAACAGCCCTTTCCCATGGAGACCCCCTTCTTGCCTGGGGACTAGATTGCCTGTGTAGGACTAACCTTAGCCACAAGATTAGAAATTATGGTTTAGGAGTCATGCAGCTGGAAGCTACAAGATTCTGACCTTCCCTAAACTGCTCCTAAGATCAGTGCTTGAGATATTTTGCAGACCCTGCACTTGATGGATCAGCTGGCACCACCCAGATCAATAAACTGGCTCATCTGAACTTGTGGCCCCCGCCCAGGAACTGACTCAGTGCAGAAGGACAGCTTCCCCTCCCTGTGATTTCACCCCTGACCAATCAGCACTCCTGGCTCACTGGCTTCCTTCCACCCACCAAGTTATCCTTAAAAACTCCAAATGCTCAGGGGAGACTGATTTGAGTAATAACAAAACTCTGGTCTCCTGCACAGCTGGCTCTGGTTGAATTACTCTTTCTCTATTGCAATTCCCCTGCCTTGATGAATCGGCTCTGTCTATGCAGTGGGCAAGGTAAACTCCTTGGGTGTTTACAGGAGCCTGGGATGAGTCACTGCATAACTGTGGCAAGTGCTGTCCACCAAGTGGACACCTGTCAGGCACAGCCAGGGTGACCGACGGCCTACTCATTGGGCAAGGCTCTGACTCACCATCAGTACTAAATCCAGCAAAAGTTGATGACCCAGCATAGTCATTCTAATTGCCATGGTCATGACTAAGAATATTGTGTGACGGCAACAAATTCAGAAAGTCTGAAGTGGGCCCCAGAGTGGACCATGGATGGTTTACTGGACATGATTTAAAGGATAGCATTGGGGAAGTACCTGGAAGCCTCGGGGAGACTGAGGTTGGGGGAACTCAATGTCTACACCAGCAGTGGGTGAGAGTGTGCACTTCACAGGGTCACAGAAGGCTGCATTCACCAAGGGGGACTCAGAGGATGTTGAAACAAATTTGAATAACAAAATGTTATAATATTCAAAGATTCAAAATACAGGATATAAAGATACTAAAATAGCCAAAATCAAAGTGAGTTTCACAAAACAAGAATACAATTGGATGTTAGAATGGGACGATGTTGGACACTTAGAACATTTGCATCACAGACTCTTGAAAATAGGCTATGAACATCTTGCGCTCAGAGAAACCCAGGCAGTGTGAGGCCAGGGGGACTGAGGGGCTTGAGAAGAGACCAGGATCCAGGCCTGCCTGTCCTTCTGCCCTTCCATCCACCTAACTATCCATCTTACTTGGCCTGGAAAGACGACTCCAAGATCATCCAGACCAGGAGTCTGGTACAGAGGCTCTGGGAGCTGAAGAAGGAAGCATCAGAGCAAGAAGTGAACCAGGCCAATCTGGGTCCACTTACACTGCCTCCATGTCTCTCTGTTACTGCAATAGCCCCGTCGGCACCCTGACCACTGTGCAACATCATCGTGTATCTAACCCTGTCTCCCTGATGAAGCTGAGAAAACAGGGACCCTCCCTCCTTGCTTCTCTTTCCTTCCCTGGCCCTCAGCATGGGGCCCACATGTGACCAAGAGGCATAGATGTAAGTGGTTGGAAGGACATCCTCTCTGGGCAGATCAGTTCCCCTGCCAAGCCTTTGCACATATTGTCCCCAGGTGCCAGTGAGGCCCCACTCTCACTGCCTTCAGTCCTGCTCAACATCACCTGCTCAGCCAAGTTTTCTGTGATCCCCTTCAGGAGCTAATCCCCATCCATCATTTTCTCCTCCAGCCTATGTTGGGTTTCCTCACATGTTCATCACCATCCCCTGTAACTGCAGAATCAGCTCAAAGTGATTAACAATTGCTTAAGTTGTTACAGGTGTCACAGAGCTAAAATTGCCTGGGCATGCATAATGGGAAAAAGCTTTACCCTAATTGTTACCACCACCAGCCTGGCATCACCTGGGACTAGTTAAAAATGCCATCAAACTTGACCCACCCACCAGACCAGGGAGACAGGTTTGAGTGTCACTGCCTATCTCCTTGACAGTTGACATGCAATATTTTTTTCTTTTCTCAAAAGCTAGTGCCATAGTATTGGCTTCTGTGTGTGTCATGTAGTGAGCCAATTGTTCAATAACAATATTGGCGACCCAGATGGGACAAAACCTACCCAAAGCACTGTACCCTCTCGATGGGGTGCAGGCCCTCTTCACCAACCCTCAGTAGCTGTGTAGGCATTTGTCTAGAGGCTTGGCTGTGAGGTCCTTTCTTCTCTGTCATGGCACTCCAGGGTCCTTGGTGCTACTTTCACTTTTGAGAAAAGAAACAGCTTTTGGATCAGACATCTTTTGGGTAAGCAGCCTTGTTAATATGAGCTTATGTTTTACGTTGATTTGTTCTCATCATAAAGATTGTGGGCCACAGTCCCATCCTTTTGGTCCAGGATTGTGGATTAGAGTCCCACCCTTGTCAGGTTGTGGGTTAGAGTCCCACCCCAGGAAGATCTTGGTCAGGTTAGAGTCCTGGCTTTGGGTTAGAGATCCAAAGAATAAAGGCAATTCTAAAGCTCTATCCACTAAGGCACTCAGTTTGGTTTGGTTGTATTTTTGGCATAAGACTGTGCAGCTTTGGAGGTGGCTGAAATGGTTGTTGCTGCAGGGAGCTGCTTCCATATATTTAAATTGTTAGGGCCTAAAAGCTGAAAGTGCTTTGTTGGCCCTGTTCCCTGTTGGGATCTGCCCTGAGCAGCTCTGCCCTGAGCGGCTCTGCCCTGAGCTCATTAGTTCTATTGAAGAAATAGACTAAATAAAAAGCTACCTATATAAATGAAGTTGGTCTCCTTGTAAAATCCTATAGTGAGTTCCTATGATTCTGTTACTTTGGCATCTATTTTTTGGTCTTTGGTCTTCCTCTAGCACACCCAAACTCCTCCTTTAAGGTGTTTAAACTCTCTCTCTTTCTCCACTTTATGATGTGGATTGCAACTCTGTTTCCTCTGGGGCTCAGTGAGGGCTGTGCCATGTAGGACAAGTGGAGTTTGACTTGTTCCACTTTCAAAGGCATAATTTGAATCCAGCTGCCCTTTTAGAATGTTAAGTTTTGCCAGTTTTATGGCTAGAGTTTTAAAATCAAGGCTGTAGGGTCTTTGTGTCTGTCTATACATGTCTCTATATTGTCTATGGGACCAAATTGGCTTATATATAAAGGAGTATTCATAAATAAGTACAAATGCTTCTCAGATTCATATGATTTTAGATAAATAAAAATTTAAGATTCTTGACAAAATAGAAATGTCTTAAATTCAGACATTTTTGCCTGAGTCTTCTGGTCAGACAGGTTTATGTTGTCTCTGATAAATGTTTAAGTTCATAAAACTGTTGCTCATGTAGTACTTTTGATACTTCATGCCTTTATTAGGTCTTCTGATTATTTGGCAACTTGAGTCTGCTCTCTATCGAAGAGTCATTTTGAAATCTTTGACAAAATCTGTGATCCTATTTTGAGCAAGAGTTTTAAACCTTTGACATTTGTAAATTCTAAATTCAATCTTTATAACCTCAAACTAACTCTTTGTATATTAGGGCCCCTGGAAGTCCAGGAGAGACATAGTAGGCTTATTTCGTATGTTGGAATTGCGCAGGAAACATTTGGGTTATATTTGTATGACTTTGTTCTTCTTCATCTGCAATCTCCCGCAATGCCTCTACTGTATGCCAGGTGCTATTAAAGGCGATCAGAAAGAGCATAAGACTCCCTCCCCAAAGTTGGAGGCTCAGCTTTATGCCTCCCTTTACCCACCAATCAGGTAGGAGGGGTCTCCCTTCCACATACCCATCAGGTTACCCAATTTGGCATAGGGAATGCTCTCCCTCAGTTCCCCCTTAGCAGGGCAATTCCCACTAAGACCAGTCCCTGTGGGCCTCAATGAACAAGGGGATTGTTATATATGAGCATTCCCCTTTTTCAACTTCAGATTTATACAATTGGAAAAATAATATGCCTGCCTAATGGGATGATCCCCAAAAGATGAAAAGTTTATTTACATTCACCTTTGCTACTTATAACTCCACTTAGGCTGGCATTCAGGTGTTTACAAACATCCTCCTTACTCTGGAGGAACATAGGATGATACTGGAAAAGGACTGTCAGGATGCCAAGAGGCTTCATTAATTATAACCTAAGAATCCAATCAGAGCCCCAGCAATGCAGGCCAAACCTGGGGCCAAGCCAGGCTGTAACCCCAGTGACCCCAGAGACCAGACAAAGTTAAACCATTATAAAGAATGTTTAATAACTGGAACACAGAAGAAGGTCCAAAAACTGAAGGGCCTAAATAAGGTCCAGGAGGTACAAGAGGGGCCAAAGGAAAATTCCTCTGCCTTTCTTGAGTGGGTTTTTGAAGCCTACAGACAGTATGCTGACATTGAACCAGAACACCTGGAAAACATGAGACTGGTTAATATTACTTTTATCAGTCAGTGTGCTCCTGACAAAGAGTAGAGGGGGAATTAGGGATTCCACTGTCCATTGCTTCACAGGAGTATCCAAGAGAGAGAATACAGTCATGGGTTCTTTCTTTCTGTTTCTGGGTGGGCCAGTAAAACCCCTTCCTCACCTCTCTTTTCCACTTATTGCTAGAGACAGAAACTAAAAACATGGCTTCAAGCTGCTAAAAGTGTAAAATAAAACAAGACAGAACAAAACAAAATCAGGTGGGTTGGACAAGCCTGTCTCTAAAGTATCTAATAGCCATGACCAAGTCCAGGAAAAGCAGAAACAGTATGACACAAAACAAGCTGCACTGTTTGCTGTAGCTTTCACCTGTGATCAATCAAGACCCAGTAAGATGCTTGCTGGGGTAAACACAACCACAGTTAAGACCTTCCCCACCAGACCCCACCACTTAGCCAGAAGAGCCATCCATCATTAGGGTCACAACAGTGTACATATTGTAAACAAGAATATTGCAAGTGGGAATGCCCTAACCTCCCCTGATGGGAGAGGAAGGAACTTCCCACAAATTAATCTACTAGATACCACAGCTTGCTGATAGCAACCAAAGATGATGGGACCCAGGGGCTCCTATAGACTCTGTTAGCTCTATCAACACTTCGCACAAGGAACCTCTGGTAACAGTCACTGTGGGAAAGACTCATACCCTTTTTAATTGACACTGGGGCTACATATTCTGTACTAAACATCAGACAGGGACCCTTCTCCCCAAAGACTATGGCAATTACTGTTATATGTGGCAAAACCTCCCACAAGTCCTTCCTTCAACTGATCAAATGCACCCTTCAGTTCTGACTCCCAAAAACTGTTGCCTTTGAATGGGATGATCCAGAAATTAATGTAAAACAACAATATTGGACAGTACTTCTACAAGATTTCAAAAATGCCCCCACCATCTTTGGGGAAGCTTTAGCTAAGGACTTGAGAGAATATTTCTCCAATATATAGATGATATCCTGATTTCCAGTAAAACTAAAGAAACCTCAGATCAAAACACAATTCTGACCCTAAATTTTCTGGCAGACCACGAATACAAAGTTCCTAAGAAAAAGGCACAAATTACACAGTCAACATTAAAGTATCTGGTGTTTGAGCTATCTAAAGGGCAAAGAACCTTGTTACCAGATTGAAGGGAGGCCCTAGCTAGAGTGGCTTTACCCACTACCAGAAAACAATTATGAGGGTTCTTGGGAATTACTAGGTTCTGTTGTATCTGGATTCCCCACTTTTGACTTATAAGAAGTCCAAAGCCCTTATATCAAGCCCCCAAAGAAAATGATAATGAGCCATTTAATTGGACTACAGAATGTCATAGGACATTCTGAAACATAAAGGAAAGGCTCCTAACAACCCTGTCCTTTCATCTCCCAAATATAAGAAAGCCATTTGATCTTTTGGTACATGAACAGCAATGTATAAGTCTTTGAGTACTGACACAAAATTTAGATAACACCAAGAGTGCTGGTGTAAACTTTTCTAAACAACATACTAACCCAAGGGTAGCCAGTTTGTCTTCGAGCAGTAGCTGTAACCTGTGGTCTCTTACAAGAAGCTGAAAAATCTACTTTGGGCCAGCCTACCACAGAGCACACCCTGCACTATGTACTGCCCCTCTTTGAACAAAAAGCAGGATATTACCTTACATCTGCAAGAGTAAGGAAATACCAGGCTAGTCTACTAGACAACCCAAATATAAATTTTAAGGTAGTGTTCACACTAAACCTAGCCACCATACTTCCAAGTACTGTAGAAGAAACTGTTCGTGATTGTATACAAATAATTGAAGCTTATTCTAGCAGACCTCATTTGACTAATCAGCCTTTGGAAGACCTAAACCTGGAGATGTTTATAGATGGGAGCAACTTCTTGAACTGAAGACTCTAAAAAGCTGAATATGTAATTGTGACTCTCCAGGAAGTCTTAGAAACTGAGGCTCTCCCACCAGCTACCTCTGCACATAACTTGCAACCTTGGGACAAAGTAAAAGGTAACTATTTATACTGACTCCAAATATGCTTTTGTGGTAGTGCATGCACATGAAGTCACCTGGAAGGGAGAGGCTTTCTGAATTCAGGGGGAAGAAAGGAAATCATGAAACCAACTTAACCTGGGATAAAGTCTTGCCTATTGCCCTGCTTAGTGTAAGATTAGCCCCCAGAAGCAAGCCCCAATTGAGCCCTTCCTCAAAAGTGAATTTTTTTATAATTCCAAAAATAGTCATATTATAAAAGAATTAGGTACTACAAAATACGTACAGTCTCTGCATGCAACTTTATCTGTTATACATAAGTATGCTTCTAGCTGTTTAACATTTCCTGCAGATGTTTCTTTACACTGTCTAAGCCCAGGAGACTGAGTACCAATTACAGCCCAAATGAAATGGACTCAATGAAGTTCTTCTGGTGACCCATCCATCCGTAAAGTAGTTAAGCCCTGTGTTCACCATTCACAAGTAAAGATAGTACCTGTTAGTAGTCAAGACTCTCCTCACCCCCTTCATAATCTCCACACAGGCTACACTTATCACAAACAACAGGAAACAGGAAGCAGGATGGCTGAGTCATCCAAACACCATATGGCTATGACCTACAGATGGCATGGCCTACAGATGATTTCTCCAGGCAGGAATACGCTTGCGAACTCCTAACAAAGTAACTCCTAAAGTTACTTTTCAGAAAAAAAAAAAATAGGACTTAAAGAGCTCCTGGATCTCTCGATAATGAGAAGTCATTCTTGTTTCTAAAACCAGACTCCACCTGATCAGATGGGGAGGCCAGAAGCAGATGGTAACTGAAGGAGACAGCTTACCCAAGATACCAGACCAGGCCTGTATTAATGCCATCAGGAATAAGATCTATTTTTGAGAGTCTGCTTATGTTAGGAATTATAGTTCTATGTGTGCTGAGATTTCTTTTCATTCTTGTCAAGGTACAGATGGTGCAGAGCTGTCTCATATTTCGATACCCCCTGTTCATTCCTCAAACCCACACCTGTGCCCCTTGAAAGCGGGAAGTAGCTAGAATGGTCATCACCCCATTTCTCTCAAGAGTGAGGAACGTACAACAAAAAGGGAGGGGGGACTTGGAACAGCAGGACCAGCTGAAACCCATTAACCATTGTCTTGTTATAGGTGATAAAGAGCCAAAAATTGTCTGGGCATGTATAATGGGAAAAAAACTTTAATCTGATTGTTAACACCACCAGCCTGGCAGATTGGCTGCATTGGCATCATCTGGGGCTAGTTAGAAATGCCATAAAAGCTTGGCCCACCCCCAGATCAGGGAGACAAACTTGAGCATTGCCTCCTGTCTCCTTGCCAGTTGACTCACAACAAAGCTTTTTTCTTTTCTAAAAAGCCAGTGCCATAGTATTGGCTTCTGTGCTCATCAAGCAGCAAGCCCATTGCTTGGTAACACCTCCATCCATCACTCTCTCCCCCTGCTCATGCTGGGTTTCCTCACATGCTCATCATCCTCCCCCGATCCATCACTAACTCCTCCTGCCCATATTTGGTTTCCTTGGGTGTTCATCATCATCCAGCATCTATCAGTTTTTCTGTCTTTCCTCCCAGTATGCCAGCCCCATGAGGGCGAGAACTTGCTTTTGTTCATGGATGCATCCCCAGTGCCTAGAACAAAGCCTGGCACACAGTAGGCACTCAGCAATTATTGGGTGACTGATTGAGTGAGTGAATGGACCTCAGTTTCTCCATCTGTAAAATAGAGATTTTGCTCCCCATGGTCTTCAGGGTCTCTCCCAAGTCCCTCCCACAAGGTCAGATATGTAGCCCATCCCTCTGAGAAGCCAGGAGTGTCAGAAAGGCTGGGAAGGACAGTGATGGGTCAGTCAGGTCGTCATCGGTCCCACAACACCAACAGTCAAGTCCTCCTTAGCAGGTCTGGGCTGCAGGTCGTGTGTCCCACTTAGTGCCCAAGCTCACATTATGGTGCTGGTGAGGAGTCTCAAGTAGTTATTAAACTGTGTGTCTGCAGGTATACAATTTTGGAAGTGGGTTTTGCATATTTTGATAAATGTATAAATATGAAATTTATTATCCATCACTGTCATACGCTTATGTTCTATGTTAAATGTATATAATGTATACTTCCCTAAAGCATGAGAGTTGCCAATTCTTGACCAAGACACAGTGACACTATTGACCACACAGAGTATGTTTATTCCTTAACTTGGAGGAGGGCAGCCAGGATGGTGGGCAAATCTCTCCATGCCACAGGAAGGCCTGGGGCCCTGGAGCTCCAAAAGGGACAGAGAACAGGGTTGGGAGAGTGATCAGCCCAGTCACTGGCCTGGGCCCAGGTGACATCAGCAGGGCAGGAAGGGGGTCACCTGGGCACTTACCTGTGCCAGCTCCACCCAGGGCCCTGCACTGGGTCAGAGCACAGTGGCTGGAATCTGAGCACCCTGGAGCCCCACCTGCCCTCATTCCACCTGGATTCACCTCCCTGAGCCTCAGTTTCCTCTGATGTAAAATGGGGATGAAAACAGCTCCCTCCTTAGGGTGGCTGTGAGGATTAAGTGAGCAAGTGCAAGTACAGGGTGCCCAGCATGCATAGGAAGTACACGAACCTATGAACTGATATTCCTGCTGTTGTCACCCCAAGGGCTGCTACAGAGAGGGCAACTTGGGCCCACTTTACAGATGGGCCTCATCCCTGCATCCTGCAATAGCTGACAGGTGTTAACACCCCCATGAGCCGGGCACCTGCATACATGACCCATGTCACCTGCATGACCTTGCACGACCTCCCTATGCAGCAGGTGCCATCATGGTCCCTGCTCCACAAGGGAAAATGTCAAGTACCTCCCAGATCACACAGCCCACAGGGGTGGAGGCTTAGAACAGGGCTTTCTGTCCCCAGGGCCAGGCTTGACCCCCACTCCAGACTCCACACTATCAGGAACACTCGTCAGTAAACCCTGACAAGAAGGTGGGGGACAAGTGGGGTTGCCCCTAGTGACCCCACCCCTCCCTCCTTCGCTCACAGAACCCTGGGTTTGTTCTGCAGCTACAGGCTCAGGCCTGGGGGTCCTCCAGCCCTGGGGTGAAGCTGAGCCAAGCACCCCATCCCCCTTCTCCAGAGATTGTTTTAGGGGTGAGCACACGACCCAGACCTCACCATTGAGGTATGAGGGGAAATCTGTTGGTGGAGGGAGTGCTCCTGGGAAATATTTTTTCTGCCTCACCCTGCAACCTTCTCAACTTGAATGCTGTAGTGTGAGACATGATGTTTGGAGCTATAGCAGCCATCTTGCAACCATGAGGCAACAAGCTAAGGACAAAAAGTCAATATAGCCAAGGATGGTAAAGATGGAAGAGAGAAAGTGCCTGGGTCTTTGACATCCCTGAGCATCTGACAAAGCTGGAACCACCTCCCTCCAAACATCTGGGTACAGCAAAGCATTTCATTTTCCAATTGTTTGAGCCACTGTTGAGTTTTTTTTTTTTTTTACTTGCTGCTCAAAATATCTAAACTGCAGGCAGCACAGCAATCTGTATAAAACACACAGCTATTGTATTTTTCTACCAGTGAGTCCCCCTCACCAATCCTTGAACCTTTAGAGAGCAGAAGTTGTATCTTGCTAATCTCTGTACCTGCTCTGCCTCAGGAGCTAAGACAGGGCTTGGCGCGTAGTCAACCCAATTCCATTTGTTGGGTAGCATGAATAAATGATGAGCAAATACACTATTGAATAAAGTGATGGATGAGCATAAGGAAAGTGAAAGTGCTTTGTAAACTGTAAAGTGCTGAGCCCAAATGCAGGCCTCACATCCTCAGCAAGGATGACGGTGCTGTCATCCTCCTAGACATCCCTCCTGCTCACACAAACCTCAGGCCTGTAAAATCCCAGCTACCCTTTCGTGCCCCTTCTTCAATTCTTGCTGGCATTGACAATGAGCACCTCCTTCCCTTCCTCAAACAGACATTAAAAGGCAAGGCTTTGTGTGCTATCATTTCCTCCCTAAAAGGTTGTCATGAGAAGCCGAATGGTCATCATTATGCCAGCTGAAATTCTTTGCCATGTTATTTAAGAGATGGAGGACAGGGCACCAGGAGAGGGGGCAGTCAGGAGAAGTGGGAAAAAAACCTTTCAGGGTGAAAAGGCTTTAAAATCTCAGCTCTGGGTCTCACAGGAAGACTGGATTAAAGGATCATTTCAAATGAATTTTGCCATCAGAGTGAAAGATCTGTTCCCCCAAAATGCTTCACTTTGACAGTTGGCTTCATGGGGTTTGGCAGAATTCATTTTGTAAGCAGACAAGATCAAGGAATAAAACAAAACACATCCAGCCATGAGAACTCTGTTAACCACTTGACATAATTGTGTTTCATCCAAAGTTAGGTTTTTGGCAAAACTGAAAAGTCATTCTCGTTCCACTGGCATCCCACATTTGTGGTGTCTGGGAAAAGTCCTGGTGTCGGGGAGTCAACAGGCAGACAGGGGCTGGGGTGAACATGGCCGCTGCCTAGGCCCTCCCTCCGTTGCCCCCATCCTTGGAGTTGGTGAGGGAAGCTGAACGGAGACGGCTCTAGGCTGATATCTCTTCCTGGGCAGAGCTCCCCAGGGCCAGCAGCCCATTCCTCCCACCCCACACCTATCTCTGCACCAGAGGATGGATTTCGGGGCAGACATTGATTCTTCACTCTAGTCCTGGCTGCCTGGACCAACATCCCCTATGACATACACACTTTCAGCATCACTGTGGCAGGGGGTGTGTCAAGTGAGGCCACAGGTCTTGCACCAGCCTCTCCACCATGGCATCTCCAGGCCCTTTCAATGGGTGATTTACAAGCCAGATATATAGATTTGTATTTGCTGCACCAAGATCAATTTAATGCTCCCCAACTAACATTTTTGTACTTGAACAGCTAGCTCCTTGCCCTCCAAAAGATCTAACTGTTCTCTCTTGTCAATCCCCCAGCAGCTGCAATGTCCAACCTGCCTATCTACCTCCTACCCCCCACCCACCTCCACCCACCATGCCCACATCCTATCTCCCTTCCCACCTCCTATCCCCTGCCCACCTCCTATCCCCTGCCTACCTCCAACTGCCTATCCACCTCCTACCGCACTGCCCACCTCCTAACTCCTGCCCACCTCCTACCTGCGTGTCCACCAACTATCAGCCTGGCTACCTGCTGACCAACATGCAGAGTGACTGTGTATTCGTTTACTCATTCATGCAGTGATTAATTTTTATGGAACATACTGAGATGAATAAAATAAAACTCTCATGTCCTCTGAAAGTTTATAACCTGTTTCTTACACTAATGCATCCAGTCTGAAGGCCAGAGTGAAGGAATTGGGTTAGACCACATGAAGACCTTCTGGACAGGAATGAGTTGGGCCTTGGGGAAGGGACATCACAGTGCAAATATTTGGGGCACAGATTCTGCAGGCAACAGGCCCGAGACTGAATCTTAGGTTCACAGTTCACAGGCAAGTAACAACCTCACTGAGCTTCAGCTTCCCCGTCTGAAAAGCGGCAGTCACAGCATCTGCCCTAGAGGTGCTCATCAGGGTTCAATGAGATACAAAATGGGAAGAGTCGAGCTCAGCGCTTGGCTCAAGGCAAGCACTCGATTCTGAGCAGACTGTACTTTTTTGGAGACAGGAGTACTTTTGGGAAACAGCCAGGCAGGTCTGGGTTCAAATCCCAACTCTGCTACTTATTGCCTCATTCAACCTCTCTGAGCCCCAGGTTTCGTCTGTGAAATGGGAGAAAATGCAGCCTAACTCGGGATGGGCTTGGGGAGGAAATGAAGAGGGAGGGGAGGGAATCAGACCCTACGTGCCAAGCCCGGCACACCTGCCACACAAAGTAACTGCTGGGTTCTCCCTCCCCCTCCTCCACTCTGGTGTTGGGAAAGAATGGAGGGTGGGGTTGGGAAATCTGCAGAGAACAACCTCCTCCCAGTATTTGCTGCCTTAGTTCCCTGCCAAGGGTTGCCCAGACTCTGGAGGCCCCTGTAGTGATGGGGAGCTCACCACCTCCTGGACTGGGCAGCAAGAATCACAGGGCTGACCAAAGAGGATGAGACCAGGAGCCCTGAACAACTGCAGCCTCGGCCACGGTGCAACTTCCAGGCCCCAGCCCCTGCAAGGCGCACCCTGAAAGGGGCTCCAGCATCACAGGAGCAGTTTCCTCAAGGACCACTAGCTGCTATGGGAGAGAGAGTCTGTGTGTTAGAAAGCATTAAATAGCAAAATACTATTCACAAAAAGGAAAAGATCCATTTATCAACTCTTTGAACTATCTAAAAATATATATATACTGTAAAGTCAGCTCGCCCTGTAGGTGTTGATTCAGGAGGCTGGGCAGCTGTTGGCCTCTGGCTGCCCGGGCAGAACCTCGGAGAGCTGTGGCCCGGGACACTCGGCAGCCATCCCCAGGCCACACAGCGTGGGTGGGGAACCCCTTCTCCAGGAGCTCCGTCCCTCTTGCCGTATGGCCTTGGAAAGTCAAGCTCCCTCTCTGGGCCCTAAGGAGTGGGTCCAGGGAACAAAGAGTGCAGGTGGGGTCGGGGTGGGGACAGGGTGGATACAGGGGGGTATGAAAAAGACACCAGACAAAAGAGGCAAGAAGAAACCTCTCTTGCACCTGAGAGGCTGAGGCAGGGAAAGGCCTCAGTGAGTGTCACCCCCAAACCTGGCTCCCCTGGCCCTGGCTGTGCTGGAGCCTTCACCTTCTACCAGGAAACCTCTGGATTGTCCCCACCTTTTCCAACTTCCACCAAGTCCCACACATCTCCACCTGGCCCCAGGGACCACACTCAGGCCCTAAATTCCCCTCCCTTCTTCCCTCTCTCCCTCCCAGGTGCCTTTGCTCACACTGTCCCCAGGCCATGGAGCTAACCTCCTCCACATTTCCCAGAGCTCCCTCCTCAGGGAAGCCCTCTCCGCCTTCCTGACAAGGTCAGATTCCAGCCCAGGCTCCCAGAACCCTGGGAACCATGTCTCAAGGCACTGATCCCAGGGGAGGTCCCCAGTTATTTGGTGACCAGCTGTGCCCCCACAGGGATGTGAGCTCTGGGCTGGGGCTGTCATCTGTTTGTTCATGGCTGTAGCCGCTAGAATGGTGCCAAGCACATCACGGAAGCTCAGTGAACACTGGTAGGAGGAGGGCAGGGAGGGAGGAGTGAAGGGCAACTAAAGAACGAACACAGTGACATGCGATGAAAGGAGGCAGGGCCTGGGAGACTCAGAGACTTGGGGACACATCTGCAGCTATGAGCCCCTGAGGCCGCATCAGGGACACAGATGACACTCACTCTGTGAAGCCCCAGGTAGAGTCTGAGCAACAGGAGTGACAGGAGGGACACTGTCTCCCTCATGGCTCCCTCTCAAGGCTGCTGTCTGCAGAAGGACCTGACGCTCTGACCACAGCCCTCCCCTGCCCCACAACCATCCATGGCTCCCAGCATCGGCCTGACAAAGTCCAAACTCAGGTCCACTGTGGTCTTGCCGCACCTGCCTTCCCTGCCCTGCCTCCCTCCACTTGTCCCCACAGTCCCCAGGCTTCAGGCCCAGCTATACCACCCCTGGCACCTCCACCCCTACTCTTTATGCTTCCCTGACATTGCCCTGCTGTCCTCTCCTGGAACACCCCCCACCCCTGCCTATTTGGAACCCAGGCCCCATTCCAGGCTCAGCTTGAGCATCCCCTCCTCCATGAGGCTTCCTCTGATTACCCTGGGTGCTGACTTTGCTTGTCCCTTCTCTGTTTCCGCAAACACCACTATGTCCCTCTCCCAGAGCTGGTTCCAGTCTCACCACTAGACCACGAGCTACCCCAGGCAACAGGAGGTTTGATTCTTCTCTCCCTGATGCCTGGTGCATGGCCTGGGACATAGGAGGCCTCACAATGGGCTGAGTGAGAGAATGAATGAATATCACCTGCCTCCATTCACTCAGGACCCACCGTGTACCAGGCACTGTGCTGAGCATGTTACAGGCATCGTTTCATTTAATCCTCCACGTAATCCCTTGTGCTGTGACTATATATGCCCATACTATAGATGGGGAAACTGAGGCCCAGGGAGGTTGAGTCACGCACCCAAGGCCACATAGTGGGTAAGCTGAGGCAGTGACACCCTTCCTGCTCACCTCCTCCAATGCCTCTGGCTCCCCTCCTGACCTGAACTTGAGCTCACAGCCACGTCCGGGGTGTCCCTGCCAATTCACTGCCCACTGGGGACCCCGATAGCCGTTTTGGCTGCAAGTCAGCATCACAAATCTACAGTCTCAGCTCTAGAGCAACAGAAGGACCCACCAGGAGTGTGTGCCCGGAAGGGTCTCTGCACCCAGGGAAACCCCTCCCCGTCCCACTTGCGGAACCTCACCCTCCCCATCATCAGTGGGGACCCCTCCCAGGCCCACGAGGACACTGGCGGTTCCCTCCCCTCGCCCTGGGAACATGGTTTATCCATCACAGGGTCATGGGCTATACTGTTAGGATCATGTGTGTATCTCTGATGAGCAGGGGCCAGGGAGCCATTCAGTCCCAGAGGTTCTGGGGAGGGGAGGAAAACCTCAGACAAAAGGAGAAGGAAGTGAAGAGAAAATAGGGATGCAGCAGAGAGATTAATCCACTGCTCAGACATGAAGGAAATAAGTTCAATTATATTTGCTGCATTTCATTTTAATGTACACATCGTATTTAGCTGCCAGCAAGCCTCGGATTACCCAGAGAGAAAGCGCAATGAAAGACAAGAGAATTAAAACAGACAAAAAGTGCCCCGGAAATTGGAATCTCTAAGAGAGAGAAACAAAAGCCAGGTTCCAGAGGCCACTTGGCGCCAAGTCCCTCCCAGCACTGACTCCGGGTGTCCGCAGCCATGCACCCCAGCCCACGCTGCCCACCAACCCTGCTGCCCTGATCGCCTGGCATCAGGGAGGGACCTGGGCCAGAGGTAGGAGGCTCAGTTGGCCTCCTGGAGCTGCCCCCCACTTGCCCTGGGGAAAGCCTGTGCCCCAAACCCTCCCAGGTCAGGAGGTGGTGAAGGGTGGCAGGAAGGCAAACAGGGCAACAGAAACCCCACAGCATGCCCAGGTGCTGTACCCCCAGCAGGGCTCTGGTGAACCTGCGGCAAGGGTGTGGGGTGATCAGGATGGCGCTCCTTCCTTCCAGAACCTTCTTACAACACCCACCCCCCTGTCCCACCCAGTGCCCTCGGGGAAGGCCCTGGAAATCCCTCTCACAGCAGCACCATTGGCTAGGCCAGGCACCTGGTCTGCCAGAGCAGCATCTCCGGTTCCCAGAGACAGGGTCTCCAACAAGGGGCTCCTGGAGCTTCCAGATCCCTGTCCACTGATTGAGCCCACCCTGGAGGCCAACCCAAAACCACGGAGGGTGCAGCAGGTGGAGCCACTGGGAGGGGACCCACTGCCCAGCACCCAGCAACTGTGTGAGAGAAACACACACCCCACACATACACACACAACAGGCCACACCACACAACAGCATATCACACACCACAGCACACAGCACATACACACAACAGGCCACACCATGCCACACCATAGCACACACCACAGAGCACAAAATATACCACATACCACACACCACACTACACGCACACAACAGACCATACCACTCCACAGCACATCAAACACCACAGCATACCACACACCACACCACACACACACAACAGGCCACACCATGCCACAGCATATCACACAGGACAGCATATCACATGCCACACCACACAGCACAGACATACCACACACCACACCACAGCATATCACACACCACACCACACATACATAACAGACCACACCATGCCACACCATATCACACACCCACAACATACCACACACCACACCACACACAACACAACACAACACACACCATACATACACAACACGACTTACCACAGCATATCACATGCCACAGTACACACACCATACCACACAACACACCCCACATCATAGACACACAACACATCATGCCACAGCATATCCCACACCACACCACACAACACACACCATACACACAACACATCATACCATATACCATGCACACACAACACACCATACCACAGCATATCACACACCACAGCACATACACCACACACAACATGCCACACCACAGCATACCACACACACAATACAACATACACCACATGGTACACCCAGGGTTCAGGCCAGACATCAGATTTCACCTGCTCCACAGGAGTCTCTGCCCCAACCAGCCCAGGTTCAAATTCTGGAGCTCACTACTGTGTAGCCTCAGACGAATTGTTCTCTGACTCCAGAGTCCTCATTGGAGAAATGGGAAATCTGCTTCAGGATGAAGTGAGATGGCACAGGCAGTGCCTGGCACAGCAAAAGCCCTCAGTAAGAGGTGGTGGTGGTGGTGGTGGTAGTGGTGGTGGTAGTGGTGATGGTGGTGGTGGTGGTAGTGGTGGTGGTGGTAGTGGTGGTGGTGGTGACGGTGGTGGTGGTGGTGGTGGTGGTGGTAGTGGTGGTGATGGTGATGGTGGTGGTGGTGGTGATGGTGGTGGTGCTGGTGATGGTGGTGGTGGCAATGGTGGTGGTGACGGTGGTGGTGGTGGTGGTGATGGTGACGGTGGTGGTGGTGGTGATGGTGATGGTGATGGTGGTGGTGGTGGTGGTGATGGTGGTGGTGGTGGTGGTGGTGATGGTGATGGTGGTGGTGGTGATGGTGGTGGTGGTGATGGTGGTGGTGATGGTGGTGGTGGTGGTGGTGGTGGTGGTGGTGGTGGTGGTGGTGACGGTGGTGGTGGTGGTGATGGTGGTGGTGGTGGTGATGGTGATGGTGATGGTGGTGGTGGTGGTGATGGTGGTGGTGGTGGTGATGGTGGTGGTGATGGTGGTGGTGGTGATGGTGGTGGTGGTGGTGATGGTGATGGTGATGGTGGTGGTGGTGGTGGTGGTGATGGTGGTGGTGGTGGTGATGGTGGTGGTGGTGGTGATGGTGGTGGTGATGGTGGTGGTGGTGATGGTGGTGGTGGTGGTGGTGGTGATGGTGATGGTGATGGTGGTGGTGGTGATGGTGGTGGTGGTGGTGGTGGTGATGGTGATGGTGATGGTGGTGGTGATGGTGGTGGTGGTGGTGGTGGTGATGGTGGTGGTGGTGGTGATGGTGGTGGTGATGGTGGTGGTGGTGATGGTGGTGGTGGTGGTGATGGTGGTGGTGGTGGTGATGGTGGTGGTGGTGGTGATGGTGGTGGTGGTGGTGATGGTGGTGGTGATGGTGGTGGTGGTGGTGGTGGTGGTGGTGGTGGTGGTGGTGGTGGTGGTGATGGTGGTGGTGGTGGTGATGGTGGTGGTGATGGTGATGGTGGTGGTGATGGTGGTGGTGGTGGTGGTGGTGGTGGTGATGGTGGTGGTGATGGTGGTGGTGACAGTGGTAGTGATGGTGGTGGTGGCGGTGGTGGTGGTGGTGTTACAATTCTGCACCAGTTCTTTATCCTTCAAAACACAGCTCTAGCATGTGCTCTGGGAGGGCTGCTGCCTGCACATTCTAGGGGGCGCCCTTCACGGCATGTCCATGTGTGAGTTGTGCAGTGCACAGCCTGTGCAGCAGTATGCTGAGGCCCTGAATTCTAGAAAGCCTTTCCTGACTGGCCGAGTTTGGTCAGGGGCCTCTCTCTCCTCTCTCACCCCCGGTCCATACCAGTCTGTGAGTTCCTTGAGGGTAGAGGCCTTGTCCTGCCCACCCCTGTGTCCCCAAGCCCAGCTCAGCACTTGATCCACAACAGGGCAGGCACCAGCAACCATTCCTTCAGCTCATGGGCGGCTGAACAGAGATTTACATCTATGTTTAGGCTCCAAAGCTCTTAACTGAGGTCCAAAGAGGTTAAGTGCCTGAAATAGCTAAACATACCCTATTGATATTTGCAAAGCCAGAGATCTGAGGTGGACAGTTAGACACGGCCTAGTGTCAAAATGCACAAATCCCACATCTCATTGCCAAGTCACATGCCTGGCAACGCCCATGTCCCCGCCCCTCCCGGCTTAGTACCGACTGAGACTTCGAAGAGACACAGTGAGGGTGTCTGTCTCAAACACCACTGAGTTCCCTGGCACTGCTGGAATCCTAAAGGTCTATTTCGTAGGCCATATCAAAATATTTCTGATGTTGCCCAAAAGAGCTGCACGGGACACTCGTGCTGTGCCAACCACAGGAGGAGAAATGGCCCAAACATGTGACATAAGCAGATGTGATGAGCTGCACCCCCCAACACACGGGAGGGGCAGCTCCGAGTGCAGGAGAGTCCCAGCCTTCTCCAGATGTCCCCAAAGGGCCATGCAGGGACCAGGACTTGGCGCCCACTCACCTCAGGCATTTGGTTTCCCGTGGTGCTGACTGGGAGGCAAATGTCCCTGGAAGGGGGCGTCAGGCTCAGTGGCCTTTGGGGACAGCTGGAGCCTCCATGTGCCAGGCCCTGTGCTGGGCACTGGGGATGCAGAGATGCCAGATGTCTTCCGGGGAGGAGCGTCTATGCTGAGCCCCGAGGGTGAGATGTTAGGCAGACGTGGAGGGTGGGGACTGACCATCACTCGCTGCTGTCACCTGCCACGTGCTGGGGCTGTGTTCTAAGCGTTTACTTGTATTAAATCCTCACAGTAGCCCCCGTGAGAGTGAGGGAGACACTATCACTACCCCCATTTACAGATGAGGAGACTGAGGCACAGAGAGGTTAGGAACTGCTCATCATCCGGTCACCCACCCGGCCAGGTTTCAGACCGAGGGGGCCTGGTTCCCGAGTCCTCCCAGGTCCCTGCTGTGCACGGGCAGAGGGAACAGCAGTGGCATAGGCTCAGAGGCAAGAGTGGGGGCAGGGAAGACTCAGGCAAGGGACATAGCTCAGTCTCACCTGGAGTGACAGCATGGGCAGCTGAGGGCGAGTAAGGCTGGGGGAGGGGCCGGCCCCGGGGAGCCTGACCCGCAGTCAGGGTATGACCACCCACACTCACTGCCCCGGGCAGGAGCACAAGGACAAAGCTTTGCCCTCAGGGCACTGGGTGGTGACTCCCGCAGGTCTCACTCCCCAACTTCGGGGCTGTGTCATCACCTCTGGGCCCACAGGCCCTGGCACAGGGCAGGGGCAGCCTTTGTCCATTTGGACTGCACAGGGCATTGCTTTCTCCTGCTCTGCGCTCAGCCCCGAACAGGCACGATGGAGCTGCAGACATGGGGGACACTGCCCTCAGTAGCTCTCGGCCCAGCCAGGGACACAGGTGAAAGTTCTGAGTGCTGCACCCGACATCACCAGCTCCCACATTCCTGACAAGTGGCTGAATGCACTTGAATCTGAAGGGAGATGTGGCCACGTGACTGGCTCTGGCCACTGTGCTGTGAGAGGCGGCGGCGTGTGTCACCTCCAGGAGGGGCAAAAAGGGCCAGGGCAGGGTTGATGCCTTCTTCCTGTTGCTGCATGAAGCCCTGTCCAGGTGAGAGGTGAGAGACTGCAGTGAGCAGAGCCCCGAGCCCCACCCTGAGCCACCCAGGCAGAGGCAGGAGCCTGCTCCTGCTGAGGGCGCAGGGCCGTTGATCACTGCAGCACAGCCCAGGCCCAGCCCATGCCCTGCACAGAGCCAGGTCACCTGAGAAGGTAAACACCACTGTGAGGAGGGAGGGGGCGGGGAGGCCGACTCCCCAGCCCCCAGTTCCCCAAGGAGGCTAGTCCCTGTGGGACGGATCCCTCAACGCCACCAGTCACAGGTCTATGGTGGTCCTGCCAGCATCAGGGCGGCTCCCAGGCCCCACCTCCAGCCTCTGACTGACCCAGACCTGGGGCCAGGTCTGCATTTACTCAGCCACTCAACAGGGAACATAGCCAGACACCAACCCTGTGCCAGGCGTGTGCTGGGCCCTGGAAATACCCAGGAACAGGACCCATGAGGCCCCTGCCCGCCTGGAGCTCATGGACTAGTGAGAGCAACAGTGATTCCAGTAAACCCCCAAGGAAAGAATTACAGAAGGTGCTGAGAGAAACCAGAGGAATGCCAAGAAGCTGGGGTGAGGGGAGCCAAGTCTGTGGGGCAGTGGGGGGAGAGGTCACATTTAAGCTGATGAAGATCAAAGGGACCGGCCAAGTAGAGGAGAGCAGGAAAGGGCATTGCAGGTGGAGGGAACTGCGTGGGCAAAGGCCCTGTGGCAGCAAAGCGCTCGAGTGTCCATGGGAGAGACAGCAGGGAGGGGAGGGAGGGCGAGGGCTGGGCCACACAGGCCTGGGAGCAGCAGTGGGGGGTCTGCACTTGATCCTGGAGGGAAGGAGAAGCCACTGAAGGGTCAGGAGGAAAGGGATGTGACCAATCCTCATTTCAGAAGAATCTTCTGGGAGCCCAGGGCTAAGCACAGGGCCTGGCATACGGTTGGTGCTCAATGAATGCTTGCTGACAATGACACTGCAGGAGGGAAGTGGGGACACTCCATGTAGGGCGACACTGACCGGCCCTGCACGATGCACCTGCACTAACACCCAGCTAGGGAGGGATCCCCTTGAGGACAGTGAGGAGCTGGTGTTTGTGGAGCAGCTGCCACCTGCCTGGCCCTGGGCTCAAGCTTCTTACACGACAGATGAAATGTCCTCAATGATGATCCCAGGAGGAGGGGCACAGGTGTCCCCAGTGAGGACCAGGAAGAGGGAGCACAGACGTCCCCAGTGAGAACCAGGAGGAGGGGCACAGACCTCCCCAGTGAGGACCAGGAGGAAGGGCACAGAAGTCCCTAGTGAGAACCAGGAGGAGGGAGTACAGACGTCCCCAGGAGGACCTCAGGAGGAGGGGGCACAAACGTCCCCAGTGAGGATCAAGAGGAGGGGCACAGACCTCCCCAGTGAGGATCAGAAGGAGGGGACACAGATGTCCCCAGGAGGACCTCAGAAGGAGGGGCACTTGTGTCCCCTGTGAGGCCCCTGGGAGAAGGGTACATTGTCATCGCAGCTAGGGTCCCAGATGGATGGTACACAACATGGCTCCAGTGAGGACCAGGAGAAGGGTACACCACTCTCCCAGTGGGAACTGATGCTGTTTTTACAATGAAAGAGGCTCAAAGTGAAATGCTCTAACCTGATGCTAGTGCACTTGAGACAGGACTCTCATTAAAAAGTGCATCAAGAAATATTTCAATCCAGAAATCAATGGGAGCTCATGGAAAGAATTACTTGCTGAAAAATGAGGAAGGATAAGTCAATAAAACTGAGTATACGGCAGAGGAGAAAGCTACAACTCACCTCCTGATTGTGTGGTCTGAGACACCAAATTGATAAAACCGTGACTTTGAAATATGAGAAAACATGCAACTTCTTAACAAGAGGAAGAAGCCAGCTATTCTGACAACGAAAGATACTGGGGGAACATCAGAGCCTGCAGTCGGGTCTGGGCATTTTCTAGCCACATGAGTGACTCTGGAAGACCCCACCTCTGTCCCGAAATGAGCCCTGGGTTGGACCCTCAACCTGGCCCCACACTTGCTCCTCACAGAGTCAGAGCTCAGTCTCCCCAGCACCTTCTCTGTCCCAGAGGCCAGTCAGCCCTGTCCACCCCTCCACCCTCAGCATGTAATCCACCCCTTCCAGGAAGCCCTGATTACTCCAGGCCCCACGGTCACCCAACTCTGACCTCAGCCCATCTTCTTCACCTAAACAGCAGGTGGGCACAGCAGAACATCCTGAGCCATGTCCTAACGTTTAGGAGTAATGTGGACAGGGACAGAATAATGTTCCTGCAGGTAAGAATTTGGACTCTGGAGTCAGAGAGACCTGTGTTGACATTCCAGTTTGTGTATGACCTTGGCCAAGGGGCTTTACCATCTGAGCCTCAGTTTCCTCATCTGTGAGGTGGACTCACGATTCCCACCTCACAGCAGATTTAATGAAATGCTGAACGTAAAGTGTTGCCACGGTGCCTGGCATTTAGGTGGTGCTCAAGAAATGTTGGTAACAATTATCACAGCACTTCACGGTCTACAGGGTCCAGCCACACCTGTCAGGTTGAAATTCCATCCCCCGTAGAAGGGACTGCGTCTGGTCTTTCCGCAGCATTTTGGAGTTTGCAGAGCCCAACCTCGGCCTTCATCTTAGGGATCCTCAGAGCAACCCCAAGGAGCAGACCAGAGTGTGCGCCTGGGGCCAGAATCCCTGGGTTCACATCCTGCCTCCACCATGTCCTAGTTACCTTGAGCAAGGAATTTCCCCTGTTTAAGCCTCAGTTTTCCCACCTGTGAAATGGGACCGCCCATAATGCTTGCTTTGCATGGCTGTTGTAGGGTTGCACACAGAAAGCATCTACCTTGTGTCATGTCTGGGATCTTCATCATCCTCTCCATTTTACAGATGAGGAAACTGAGGCTCAGAGAGGGAAAGTGGCCTCCTTGAGTCCTTGCAACTGGTGACATTGCTGACCCAGGATTCAGACGCCTGTGCTTTGACCCGCTCTCCACTGCACCATCCTGGAAGCTGCTTTATCTTCTCAGTTTTATCAGCACAAGACGTAGGCAGGAACCAAGAGTCCCTCGCTTTTGTCTGCACAGGCTCAGGGCCAGGCCGGCATCTGCTGCCCAGGCAGTGCCCAGGAGAAGGGGGTAGCAAAACTGTCCAAAGATGACTGACCTCACGCCCATCATGGCACTGAGCACCTGATCTTCGTTTGCCCCTTTGTCATGACGACGACTCTATTCCCACTTCACAGTGGGGCAAACTGAGCCCGGGAGAGGCTGAGACACGTGTCCAGGATCACACAGATAATGGCCATCAGAGTTGGCTCTAACTTGGATCTGTCTTTGTCCAGGTCCCACATCCCACCCACCCATGCCAAGTGCTGTGCGGCTCCCAACACACATTCATCTCATTGAATCCTGCAGCATCCTTGGAGGGAAATCTCACCCCACATTGCACAGGCTAGGAAACTGCCAGGTTGGGCATGGAACTCCCCGAGGCCCCACAGCTAGTGAGTGGGAGAATCCCACATAATTCAAACCCAGGGCCCATCTGTTCCCAAACCCACAGCCAAGGTGGTTCCCTCCTCCCTGCCTTGTTCTCGAAGCCTGCAGGGAGATCGATGACCCCACCATGGGGAGGGCACTGCAGGAACAGAAGGGCCAGCTGGGGCCTTCAGGAGGGCAGGTGGGGAAGCCAGCCCCCAGGTCTCCAGAGATGACTCAAGTTGTGCAGTTCCCAGGAACTTTGCAGACTTCAACCCTTTGCAAAGCCAGAGGTCTTAGGGCAGAGCCAGTCTTCTGAGAGCCTGGGCGGAAGACATCGGGTGAAGCTTACTTCCTGGAGTTCATGCCTCACAGTCCTCCTCCCTGTGGCACTAGGAGAGCCACTTGTCTGCACCAAGTCATATATCTAAGGGCCTAGCGATAAACCCCAAGAAGATGGATTTATCATAAACCCCTCATTATCTTTCCCTCCCCAGGGTCAGAGGTCACATCGATAACTTCCTGCCCACTGCTTTCTCGTACAGATTCACATCAAGGCTGCAAACCTATTTTAGGAACTGTAAATCCATCCCCACTTCCCTCTAGAAATCAATTGGAAACTCGGTTGTTAAATCCACCCTAACAGAAAAGCTCTTAAACCACAGGCTTTTGCTGGGCCAGGATGGGGCTACATTCTGAGTCTGGAACACTTCAGACCGGGGTTCTATATAGGGTTGTGGAGAACAATGGGGATTTTCCAGGGCCAGGCCTGGCCAGGAACACAGAGAGCAGATGACACTGGAAAAACTTCAGCTGGGCAGCCTCTGTAGTTAGCACCTCCCTCTCCTCCTACTTAGAAGCCTGTTCCCCCTGGGCAGAGATCATCTCCATCAAAGGGATAAAGATCAGCTCAGAGGCAGCGAGGGTCCCACCATGGCTTCCACTGTGCATCAGGCTGAGGATGAGGACCATGGCCATGCTGCCCAGGTCAACCTTTGGTCCAGGAGACAAGGCTTTCTCACTGCATCAAATGTAGAATCATGAACCCAGGATTTCCTTAGGATAAGCTGGCCAACTATCCTTAGGATAATCAGACCAACTAGTGTGATCCCCATAAGCTGCTCTTGTTTTTAAAGAAGAGAAAACTTTTATGTGCAAGCGGAGAATGGATAGTCCTGGGTTCACAGAAAGGAGGTGACTGTCTCTGCAAGTATTGCAGGGCTCCAGCCTCCTGCCTGCCTTCTTGGTTTCCAGAATAGAAGAGAACATGCCATGTGCCTTTGCTGAATGATTGACTGGGATGGGTCAAACTTAGATATGGCACCTAGAATTGGAGATGATCTTTGACCAAGTTTCTGCAACAGCAATATTCTCCACCACAAAAAGTGGCAATTTTAAAACATTATCACAAATTCTTTAAGTTCTCCTCCCATAGAGAGGTGGAGTCTATGCCCTTTCTCCTTGAATGTCTGAGGGTTGTGACTGCTTTGACCAATGGTATATGATAGAAGTTGTATCACTTCCAGGCTAGGTCCCAAAAGCGGCTACGTGAGAAGTCCAACTACCCCTAAGGCTACCATGCAGTGAGGAAGCCCAAGCTACATGCAAAGGCTACAGGTAGAACTCTGGTTGACATCCTCAGCCAAGTGCAGTCTTCAAACCCATCCCAGCTCAGCTATCAGACACATGACTGAGAAATTATCTGTGTGCTTTCAACACCCAGCTGTTCAGGCCATTCCCAGACATTCAACCCTGAAAAGGCCAGATTT